>NC_000023.11:34843910-34994266 GCF_000001405.40 Homo sapiens | reverse complement strand
ACAAAATACCTAACATTTGTGACAATAAAATCTCAAAAAGAAAGGAGAAAGAAGGTGGTGCTGAAAGAGTACTAAAAGATTTAGCAGCTGAACACTTCCCAAATTTAGCAAAAGACATAATCTACAGGCTCAAAAAGTTAAACAAAGTTCAAATAGGATAAACGCCAAAAATCCACACCAAAATATCATACGTAAAATTCTTATAACTGTAGACAAAATTGCCAGAAAGAAATAATACGTTATTATTATGGAAACAACAATTAGGATGGTAGCATATTTCTCATTGGTAGTTATGGAGAGCAGGGGCAAAACATGTTTCAAGTGCTGAAAGAAAAGAACAGTCAACCCAGAATTCTATATGGAACAAAAGTATCATTCAGGAATGAAGGGGGAAATCAAGACTTCTCACATAAATGATGACTAAGAGAATTTGTCACCAGTGGCCCTATCCTAAAAAATGACTAAATGAAGTATTTTAAACAGAAGAAAATGCGTACCAATATATCTCATGATCTTTTTATTTTTTAATTTTAATTTTTAATTTTTATTAAAATTAAAGTTTTCTATAAAATTGTCTATAAAATGACATATATATGGGGTATATGAGATGTTTTTATACAGGCATGCAGTATCAAGTAATTACATCATGAAGAATGGGATATCCATCCAACAATTATTTATCTTTTCTGTTACAAAAAAATCCAATTACACTCTTTTAGTTATTTTTAAATGTACAATTAAGTTATTATTGGCAATAGTCACCCTGTTGTGCTATCAAATATTAGTTCTTATTCTTTCTAATTTTGTACTTATCAACCTATTGTGAAAGTTAATATTCAGGTATTGACACAAAATTCAATTGATATGCTTGACAATATTACTGACAGGGCTCAGCTTATTAGATTTAACTGTGATTCTTTGCAATCATGAGACTTTTTTAAAAACAAAAATAGCATCTCAATAAGTTGCCCAGGTTGGACTCAAATTCCTGGGCCCAAGTGGTCCTCTCACCTCAGCTTCCCGAACATCTGGAACTATAGGCACATGCCACCATGCCTGAATTAATCATGAGAATTTTAATCAGCCAGAAATTCAAGGATGCAAAAAATTATGTTGAATCAGGCATTCAGCTTTTTTGCCTTCTAAGACAAAGACCAAAGTCAAAGATAAGTGGTAGAATACAGTTTAATAGTGTAAACAAAATATAAAATACAAGAACCCCAATTGACACTGGATTCCCCTCTTACCCAAGGGAATTCCAAAGAAACCTGAAAAACTAGCTCAGGCCATGATGGGAATGGAGTGTCAAACATGTTTTATTATGCTCTCTCCCTTTTGGAGTTTAGACAAAACTGACTAGTATTAACATTAAAATAGAGATTCTAAGACTGACAGAACAGATCCTTTGTAGCAATAAGATACCAGCTCCAACCTAACTCTAGTATAACATCACATGGCAGATAACAGGCCCTAAAGGAAACAAAAGCATTTTATCCCAAACATATTTATTTGGCATATTTTGTAAAGGCCCTGCAAAGCCTTCTCTTGCAAGGAGAATTTATATTCTGTAGAAAATCCCCTTTCCTTTCCATGTATTTTCCTGATAGAGGAGATATTTAACTAAGAGTATGACACCTTTTAAAGTCTGATGGGAGACAGCTACCATCTATTATTTCTGAAGCCTGCTACCTGGAGACTACACCTACATAAAAAGAACCTTGCCTTGGCTTCCACAATCCCTTTTGTTTCCCTAAAATATATGAAATCAAGTTGTAACCCAACCACCTTGGGCACATGTCCTTAGGATCTCTGGAGGCTGAGTCATGGGGTCATGGTCCTCACTGGCTCAAAATGAATGTCTTCAAATATTTTAGTTTGGTTTTTCCATCAACAATAGAAAGACAAAGCATAAAAATGAATCCTTCCGTTTGTATCATACTATAATGGCAAAAAGTTTATGTTTTCTTAATCATTTTTCTCAGAATTTTTTCTTATCACCTTTATTTATATATATATATTTTTTTATTTACAAATATTGACATTTAATTGACCTGAAGCAGGAGTCCAGATGATATATGCTGAGGTTGAATTAAACTACCACCCAAGATTTTTAAAAAACTACTATTTCGGTTTTTTTTAATTTTATTATTATTATACTTTAAGTTTTAGGGTACATGTGCACAATGTGCAGGTTTGTTACATATGTATACATGTGCCATGTTGGTGTGCTGCACCCATTAACTCGTCATTTAGCATTAGGTATATCTCCTAATGCTATCCCTCCCCCCTCCCCTTACCCCACAACAGTCCCCAGAGTGTGATGTTCCCCTTCCTGTGTCCATGTGTTCTCATTGTTCAATTCACTACTTATTTTTATTTTGTGTTAACTGTGCCTGGCTTATGATATCTGTGATTTTATTGTAAAATTGTTCAATAACAATAGAAGGATTAAGTACATCTTAACAAATGATATAGAAATACAAAGCATAATTTTTTAAATTGTTGTCTTTATGCTTTAACCCTGGATTTCGTATTAACCCACCTAATTATATTGTCAGAGGCATTTGAAACAGAGGGATTCTATCTTGAATGAGGGTGAGGAAAAATGAGGCTGAGACTCGCTGGGCTGCACTCCCAGGAGGCCTCTAGATGTTTATGGTTAAGGGAACAGATTAATAACGCTTACTAAACAGACCCAAGCTCAGGAATGTCCTGATATCCCGATATCTTGAGAACGAAAACATTCCTAATTTTGCTTTAAAGATAATAATGGTTCTTGCAAAATGTAGTAATTAAAAAAATTAATCCTTTATCACAAACCCCTGTAGTAGAGCACATCTCCCCATGATTTTGTTTTTGTTATCCTATATATAAACAAGCATTTTACCTTGTGTAGGCATGTTCCACCTCTTACTTTCAGGAATGCCCAACTCTGTCTATGGGGAAGCTATTCTTTCACCCCTTCACTTTCTTAATAAACTTGCTTTCATTTTACACTGTGGACTCATGCTGAATTCTTTTCTGTGTGAGATCCAAGAACCCTCTCTTGGGGTCTGATTTAGGACCCCTTTCTGGTAACATCTTTCTAGTGAACCATGAAGGAATTATACTGAAGAGACCCCGGACCCAAAGGAAAATCATTTGCATGCAATACCAGTTGGCTGACTTTGGGTAAGTGGGATGCATTTACCTGAGTAGAGGATGGGATTAGGTTAGAGACCCAACTTAGGGAAGTTAGTGTCTCTCCAGAGAAAGTTAAAGGCTCCTCTTAATAAAAGGCAAGGACACTTGACCAAACTTGGGTTCAAGGCCCAGCTTGGGAGGGTTAGAATCCCTCCTAAGATTTAGGGAGTTAGAGGTTCCATTCAGTAAAGTCTCCCTCCGCTAAGAATGGGTTTGGCACCACAGAAATTTAACTGATTGTTAATTTTTTCTTTGTCTTTATTAATTTCTTTGTTAATTTTGTCTTTGTATTAATTTGCCTTGTCCTTTTTTGCTGCATGGATCAATTTCTTGGTTCCTGTCTATGTTTCACTGTCATTTTCAGGAGACTTCATTTAACAGGTGTTAGGTATTTTAACTTTTTATTCCCCTGTGGACCTCCAAATTTCCATCCATTTGCTTGTGAAACATTGGGAACAAAAGGCATTGCAGGATTTGGCTTACTTATATTTGGCTTATTTTAAGACTCTAGCTGCTAAGGCCTCATCTCTAAAATTGCTGATTGAAACTTGGTATTTAACAGCTATGAGCAATAAGATTAGATAGACGCGGTTATGTTTTGCTGCAGCTGCGCCTATTAGGCATAATCGAGAAGCACTAGGATGGAAATCAGGGGACTTTTCTCCTTGCTGTTTTATTTCATTTGCACACTATAAAAACTTATTTCCTTTCTTGGATTCAGGCAAATCGGCTTTGCTTGTCCAATCCACACTGCCACTATTGCCCAGACCAGCTTGCTCTGGTCATCCTCATCTAAATGCTCTTCATTTCCTTTGCATTATTTGACATTTCTTGTGTCTGATTCCATGTTGTTGTTTATCTAAGATCCATGACTCAGCTGGGCTCTGTGGCTCACGCCTGTAATCCCAACACTTTGGGAGGCTGAGGTGTGTGGATCATGATGTCAGGAGTTCGAGATCAGCCTGACCAACATGGTGAAACCCTGTCTCTACTAAAAATACAAAAAAAAAAAAAAAAAAGAAAGAAAAGAAAACAATTAGCTGGGCATGGTGAATGGCAACTGTAATCCCAGCTACTCAGGAGGCTGAGGCAGGAGAATCGCTTGAACCCAGGAGGCTGAGGTTGCAGTGAGCCAAGATCATGCCAATGCACTTCAGCCTGGATGACAGGGCGAGACTCCGTCTCAAAAAAAAAAAAAAAAAAAGATTCATGACTCAGTTCATTTATATTATTTGGCAGTGTGAATAAGATAATTCAGTTTTCAGCAGGGATCCCCTCATTAATGCAGCTGGCCTTAAAACCTCCCGTATCCTTTTTAGTGGAACTTGGCCAGTGACAATACAAGATTTGGAACTTTTCTTTCAGCATCACCTCCCTCCTTCATGGGAACCACATCATCAATCCCAAAGGACTCACTGCTAAAATGTATTCTTGAATGTTGGGACCAGTTTAAACTAAATGGGCTTAAAAAGAGGAAATTGGTGTTTCTATGTAATACTGTCTGGCCTCGATACTATTTGGAAAAGAAGAAAAATGGCCACCTACTGGAACTATGGCCTTTAATACTATACTTCAATTTGATTTGTTTTGTAAGCAGGAGGGAAAATCGGATGAAATACCATATGTTCAAGCATTTTTGCTGCTCAGACAGGATAAAACCCTGCAACAAGTGTGTGCATGTTTGATTAGCGGAAAGGGGAAAAAAATAGGCATACTAGAAGATCCCTTGATGTAAGCCCCCACAGTTCAGCAGGCATTTTTGGGTGGAGCAGAGCCTCCTTCTGTCAGCTCTGAAGTTTCAGGTGCATCAGCCCTTTCTCCCTCTAGTCCATCTGAAAGTTCTATTGTGACCCCTTTGTCTCCTCCTCCTTACCCATTTAGTCCCACTCTATACTCACCACACCCTGAGGAACATAGCCCTGCAAGTACTACTCATAGTGGAGCCTCTTATCAACCTCCAAAAGGAAATCTTTGTCCACATAGAGTGGTGGCGAACAGGGAAGAAGGCACTGTAAGAATATATGCCCCCTTTTCTATGTCTGATTTGGCTTTATGTAAACAGAAGTTTGGTCATTTCTCTGAAGATCCAGGAAAATTCTTAGACGAGTTTGAAAAATTAACTCTTACCTATAGTTTAACTTGCCAGGATCTGCATATTTTGTCATCTCTGTGTTGTACAGTAGGAGAGAAACACTGTGTTTGGGACCAGCTAGGACCCATGCAGATGAGGTATTGGCTCATAACCCTAACCATAATATATATCCAGCAAAGGATGCAACAGTTCCAGATCAAGATTCAGAATGGAACTATCAAAGTGGCAGTGAGGACCTGGGGAGGAGAAATTATATGGTCACTTGTTCATTGTAAGGGATGAAGAAGTATATGAAAAAGCCTGTTAACCATGAAAAGATTAAGGAAGTTTCTCAGGGTAAAGATGAGAATCCCACTTTGTTCCAAGGGCATTTAGTTGAGGCAATTAGAAAATATGCTAACACTGATTCTGGCTCAAGGGAAGGACAGACATTTTTGGGAGTACATTTTATAACCCAGTCTACCCTGATATCTATAGGAAACTTTAAAAACCAGCTATGGGTCCCCAGACTCCTATTAATTTGCTTTGGGATATGGCATTTAAAGCTTTTAATAACAGAACAAAGGAAGCAGAAAGAGCAAAAAAGAACCTCCCACAAGGTGTAGCTCTTGGCTGTAACCTTAAGCTCATCTTCCACATAAGGTTTCTTCTGGCTCTTGGTCTGAACAAAGGAAGCAAAAAGGTGGAAAACCTAAAGCTTGACATCCAAGTCACTGTGCCTTGGGCATAGATCATTGTGCATAATGTAAGAAAATTGGCCATTGAAAGAGGGAATGCTCAGCACTCTGAATGGAGCTGTTGGCACCTGAACCAATGATGGCAGAAATAGTTAAGCAAGCCCAAGAGTGACGGAACCCAAGAGCTTCCAATTGGACAACAGCTCAGGTTTGGCAACTAGTCATATCTCTGGAGGAATCTCTGGTTACCCTTGAAGTGGCAGGTAAGAATATTCACTTACTACTGGATACAGGAACTGTTTACTCTGTTTTGACCTATAATAACAGGCCTGTCACCGAAAACTATATGGTCACAGGTATAGATTAACAAGCTCATAGACATTATTTTACCTATCCTTTAAGCTGCTCTTCAGGAACTTTGGCTTTCTCACATGCCTTTCTTATCAGGCCTGAATGTCCCACCTCCTTTGGGGGAAGATATTTGTTGACTCAGCTGCAAACAGTGGTACCTTTTGGAAATCACAAGGCAGATGAGAGATTGCTCTTTCTCCTCTCCTGTGAAAAGGGAGAAAGGTCAGTAGGTGACTTATCTACCTTACCTAATGAAATAACCTCCCAAGTAAATCCTGGTGTATGAGACACTGAGGTTCCAAGCAAAACTTTAAAATCCCCCCAGTTTGCATTCAACTTAAGCCTGATGTCCCATACCCCTGGAAGAGACAATACCCCTTAAAGCCGGAGGCACAAAAAGGGATCCAACCATTAATAGCTAAGTTTTTGCAATTCAGGTTGTTAAGGTCCTGTGAGTCTCCTTGTAAATATGCCAATCTTGCCAGTTAAAAAGCCAAATGAAGACTGCAGATTTGTTCAAGATCTTCAAGCTATCAATGAGACTATCATTCCCATACATCCTATTCTGTCCAATCCCTACAGGCTGTTAGCCCAGATCTCTGGGGATGCCAAATGGTTTATAGTCTTAGATCTTAAAGATGTTTTTTTTTTTTTTTTTTTTTTTTTTTTTTTGCATTCCAGTATACCCTGATTTGCAATTTATCTTTGCATTTGAATGGACTGATCCTGATAGTCATTTGGTTTCTCAATTAACTTAGACAGTTCTTACCGAGGGGTTAGGGACAGTCTAATGCATTGGCTAGAGAATTAAGGATGTTACAAATGAATAAGAACACTATTATCCAATGTATGGATGACGTATTTGTTGCTAGTCCAACTAAAAGAGACTCAGATGAAAACACCATTAAGTTGCTAACTTTTCTGGGAACTAGTGGGTATAAGGTATCATTGTATAAGTCCTATATTTTAACTAGAGAGGTTAAATACTTAGGATATGTCCTAAATTCTGGCACCTGAGCAATAGCCCCAGAATGAAGGGAAGCTATCCGGGGCATTCAAAAACCCCAAACTAGAAAGTGGCTGTGGGCTTTCCTTGGGATAGTAGAATTCTGCCATTTATGAGTGCCTGGATTTGGGCATATGGCCAAGCCTTTAAATGAGGCCCCGAAAGGAGCAGATCTAGATAATTTTGAATGAGATAGCAATTGTAAACATGCTTTTAATGCTCTCAATGGGAAATCAGGATCAGCTCCAGCTCCAGCCCTAGGGATTCCTAATCTTGATAAGTCTTTTTTCTTCTATGTGGCTAAAAAGCAAGGAACCCTCCTGGGTGTCTTTGTCAAGAAACTGGAAAATATCCCCTGACCAATAGCTTATCTTTTTTTTCTTTTCTTTTTTTTTCTTTCTTTCTTTTCTTTTTTTTTTTTTTTTTAAATGAAGCCTCACTCTGTCACCCAGGCTGGAGTGCAGTGGTGCCATCTCAGCTCACTGCCACCTTCACCTCCTGGGTTCAAGTGATTCTCGTGCCTCAACCTCCCGAGTAGCTGGGATTACAGGTGTGCACCACCATGCCAGGCTAATTTTTGTTTTTTTTATTAGAGACAGGGCTTCACCATGTTGGTCAGACTGGCCTCGAACTCCTGACCTCAGGTGATCTGCCTGCCTTGGCTTCCAAGAGTGCTGAGATTACAGGAATGAGCCACCGCACCTGGCCGTTTTTCTAAACAATTAGACCACATAGCTTCAGGATGGCCTAGATGTCTCAGGGCAGTTGCCCCAACTGCTCTTTTGGTAGATGAAGCCAATAAATTGTGGGACGCTTATTGAAATATCAGGCTTTGTTGCTAGACACTCCTGATGTAACTCAAAAGTCTACCAGACTTTAAATCCAGCTACTTTTTCTTCCTGAGCCCACAGCCACCCTAGATCACTTTGTATACAAGTTATGGAGCAAGCTTATTCTGGCTGGCCAGATTTAAAGGAAAAGCCTCTAGATAATTCTGAGGTAGAATTGTTTATAGGCGGAAGTAGTTTTGTGCACCAGGGAAACAGAAAAAGTAGGTATGTAGTTGTCAGTCAACATGAGGTAATTGAATCTCAGTCTTTACTAGCTTCTACCTTGGCTCAAAAGGCAGAATTAAAAGCTCTTATTAGAGTACTGCAATTGGGAAAGGACTTAAGAATTAACATTTACACTGATTCTAGGTATTCCTTTCTGGTACTTCATGCTCAAGCTTCCAGCTTGATAGAAAGGGGACTCCTAACCGCTAAGGGTTCTCCTGTAAAATGTGACTGGGAAATTTTAAATCTATTAGATGCTGTTTTGCTGCCCAAGGAAGTAGCTGTAATCCATTGCAGAGGGCATCATAAAGGAGACCCTAGTGTGGCAAAGAGAAACTCCTTTGCAGATGCTGCGGCAGCTGCACGGAAGGAGCCAGTTAGACTTGTGGGCATGTTAGTGCTCACCACCCCAGTAATGACAGAATGGAGATATACTAAAGAGGAACAAGAATGGGCTAAAGATCAGGGTTGAATTCAAGATCCTGCTGACTGGCTTATCAATGACAACAAACTGTTGATTCTGGGTGCTAATCAAGAAAAAATAGTTAAGTATTTGCATGACTCTACTCATTTGGGAAGATTCTCTGTTTCAATTAATCTCTCATCCTTTTATAGCAAAAAGCTTTCTTAAAACAGTAAAGCAGGTAACTCAGACCTGTGAACTCTGCCCAGGATAACCTGAATAACCAATCTTTACCTCCTCCTCTAGTAAGACCTGTTAAGCACAGGGGAATGTACCCTGGTGAAAATTGGCAAGTAAACTATACTCAGATGCCCCCATGTAAAGGGTTTACATATTTATTAGTATTCATTGGCACCTTTACCAGTTGGATGGAGTCTTTTCCTATTGGGTGTGAGAAAGCAAATGAAGTTTCTAACTCTTATTAAAGGAAAAAAGTCCTAAATTTGGGCTGCCTAAGAGCTTGCAGAGCAATAATGGCCCATCTTTCACAGTGACAATTACCCAAAATGTATCTTCAGCCCCAGGAATTCAGTACTTCCTTCATTCACTGTGGAGGCTACAGTCTTCAGGGAAAGTAGAAAGAACCAATCAAACTCTAAAAAGGACTGTTGCTAACCTATGCCAGGAAACATCAGAAATCTGGCTGTCTCTATTGCCTGTAGCCTTGTTATGAGTGTGGGATCCCTTCCCCAAAAATCTGCAGCTCAGCCCTTTGGCCATAATGTATGTATGGCCTTTCTCAACTACAGATATCCTTATAGACATAGATACTTTCAAGCTACAAAATCATGTAATCAACTTAGGACAAGTGCAAAAGCCACTCCTTGAACATGGAAACCAAAGAATCCCTTCCCCTACTAAGGAAGAGAATCTTTTTATAAACCAGCCAAGAGATTGGTTCCTACGGAATATTTGCAAGGAAGAATCCCCAACAGATCAACTTTCCCCAAAATGGAAGGGACCCTATCAAGTTCTCCTAGTACCCCAAATGCAGTTAAAGTTACAGGAATAAACAGCTGAGTCTAATTGTCTCTAATTAAACCTGTCTCTTATGCAGCCTCACAGGCTGACGGAACACAAGAGACTGATCCCACTCATTCCTGTGAGCCAACAATTGACCTCTGGCTCCTGTTCATAAGAAACAACAAGGATGGGTAACATAAAGATATGGATTGGCATTCTACTTTTGGATATAAGTTGGAATCACATAGATGCTGTGTGATTTGCTGAGTGGGTAAGACTTTTGCCTCTCTACATAATCAAACTGTTGTGTATGTGCAGAATTGCTACTATCCTCCACTTCCAGGTTGCCCTGGCATATTTAACCGGCCAACCTAAGCTTATAAAGACTTTATTATGATTGAGAAACTGAACATTATAAAATAGTCCCTCTTTTCCCATGTACCATAGCCACACAGGCTTTAGCCCCTTCCTCTCCTTCAGCAAGACAAAAAGGCACCTTTTACATCTAATTAGGAAACAGCTAAACTCCACCCCAAATTTATGCTATACTGTACACAATAGGCTTGGAGAGCTGACAGCTGTTCAAATACAGGTATCAGGCAAAGCGCCTCTATGCTATGATGAATATATGCAAGTATGTGTCTTTATGGTAGAATGATTTATAGTCCTTTGGGTATGTACCCAGTAATGGGATTGCTGTGTAAAAATGGTCATTCTGTTTTAAGTTCTTTGAGAAATCGCCAAACTGTTTTCCACAATGGCTAAACCAGTTTAAAATTCCACCAGCAGTGCACAAGCATTCCCTTTTCTCCACAACCTCATCAGCATCTGTTATTTTTCAAATTTTAAAAATTATGTTGGTGCAAAATAATTGCGGTTTTGCCAAAATGCAATTACTTTTGCACCAACCTAATTTCTGATTGGTGTGAAATGGTATCTCATTGTGGTTTTGATTTGCACTTCTCTGATGATTAATGATGCTGAGTATTTTTTCATATGCTTGTTGGCCAAATGTGTGTCTTCTTTTGAAAAATGTCTATTCATGTCCTTTGCCCACTTTTTAATGGGGATGTTTGTTTTTTGCTTGTAAATTTTGTGTTTATAGATTCGTGATATTAGACCTTGTCAGATACACAGTTTGCAAATATTTTCTCCCATTCTGTAGGTTGTCTGTTTACTCTGTTGATAGTTTCTTTTGCTGTGCAAAAGCTCTTTAGTTTAATTAGGTTTCATTTGTCAATTTTTGTTTTTGTTGCAACTGCTTTTGGCATCTTTGTCATGAAGTCTTTGCCAGGTCCTATATCCAGAATGGTATTTCTTAGGTTATATTCCAAGGTTTTTATAGTTTTTGGTTTTACTTTTAAGGGTTGTATTCAAATCCATCTTGAGTTAATTTTCATATGTGGTGTAAGAAAGGGATACAGTTTCAGTGTTCTGCATGTGGCTAGCCAGCTATCCCAGCACCATTTACCGAATAGGGAGTCCTTTACCTGTTGCTCGTTTTTGTCGGCTTTGTCAAAGATCAGATGGTTGTAGTTGTGTGGCCTTATTTATGGGCTTTCTGCTATGTTCCATTGGTCTAAATGCCTGCTTTTGTACCAGTACCATGCTGTTTTTATTACTGTAGCCTTATAGGATAGTTTAAAGTTGGGTAATGTGATTCCTCCACCTTTGCTGTTTTTGTTAAGGATTGTATTGCATTCTGTGAAGAATGTTATGGGTATTTTAATAGGAATATCATTAAATCTTAAATTGCTTTGGGTACTATGGCCATTTTAATGATATTGATTCCTCCTATCCACAAGCATGATATGTTTTTCCATTTCTTTGTGTCATCTCTGATTTCTTTGAGCAGTGTTTTGTAATTCTCATTGAAGAGGTCTTTTACTTTCATGGTTAGCTGTATTCCTAGGTATTTTATTCTTTTTGTGGCTATCGTGAATGAAATAGCACTCTTGATTTGGCACTCAGCTTGGGTGGTGTTGGTGTTTTGAAATGCTACTGATTTTTTTCACATTAATTTTGTATTCTGAGACTTCGCTGAAGTTGTGTATCAGATCAAGGAGCTTTTGGTCAGATACTATGAGGTTTTCTAGGTATAGAATCATATCATCTGCAAATAGGAATAGTTTGACTTCCTCTCTCCCTATTTGGTTGCCTTTTATTTCTTTCTCTTGCCTGATTTCTCTGGTTAGGGCTCCCAGTACGATGTTGAGTAGGAGTGATGAGAGAAGGCATCTTTGTCTTGTGCTGATTTTCAAGGGGAATTCTTCCAGCTTTTGTCCATTCAGTATGATGTGTGCTATGGGTTTGTCATAGATTACTCTCATTATTTTAAATCATGTTCCTTTAATGCTTAGTTTGTTGAGGGTTTTTTAACATGAAGGGATGTTGAATTTTAATGAAAGCCTTTTCTACATCTATTGAGATGATAATTTTTTTGTCTTTAGTTCTGTTTATGTAGTTAATAATATGTATTGATTTACATATGTTGAAGGCACTTTGCATCCAGGGATAAAGCCTATTCAATCATGGTAGATTACGTTTTTGATGTGCTGTTTTATTTCATTTGCTAGTCATTTGTTGAGGATTTTGCATCTGTGTTCATCAAGGATATTGGCCTTAAGTTTTCTTTTTTTGTTGTGTCTCTTCCAGGTTTTGGTATTAGGATGATACTGGCTGAATAGAATGAGGTAAAAGGGAGTCTCTTCTCCTCAATTTTATGAAATAGTTTCAGTAGTAATTGTACCAGCTCTTCCTTACAAATCTGGTAGAATTTGGCTATGAATCCATCTAGCCCTTGGCTTTTTCTGGTTAGTAGGCTATTTATTACTGATTCAATTTCAAAACTCATTGCTGTTCTGTTCAGGGATTCAATTTCTTCCTGGTTCAATCTTGGGAAGTTGTATGTTTTCAGGAATTTATCTGTTTCTTCTATGTTTTCAAGCTTGTGTGCATACAGGTGTTCATCATGTTCTCTAATTTCTTTTTTTTGTATTTCTGTGGGGTCAGTGGTAACATCCCTTTTGCCATTCTTATTGTGTTTCTTTGGATCTTCTCTCTTTTTCTCTTCTTTAGTCTAACTATCTGATTAATTCTATCAAAGAAAGCACTCCTGGATTCATTAATCTTTTGTATGGTTTTTCACATCTCAATATCCTTCAGTTCAGGTCTTATTTTGGTTATTTCTTGTCTTCTACTAGATTTGGGGTTAGTTTGCTCTTGTTTATTTGGTTCTTCTAGATGTGGTGTTAGAGGAACCAAATAAACAAGAGCAAACTAACCCCAAACCTAGTAGAAAACAAGAAATCAATGAACAAATCTTGTTAAATTAAGATCATTGTAGTTTTTGCATGCAGACATTTAGTGCTATACACTTTCCTCTTAACACTACTTTGGCTGTGTCCCAGCGATTCTGGCATGTTGTATCTTGGCTCATTAGTTTCAAGGAATTTCTTGATTTCTGCCTTAATGTCATTATTTTCTCAGAAGTGATTCAGGAGGAGGTTGTTTAGTATCCACACAGTTGTATAGTTTTGAGTAATTTTCTTAGCATTGATTCCTATTTTTATTGCACTCTGGTCCAGGAGTGTGTCTAGTATAATTTCGTTTTTTTTTTCTTGAAGTTTGTTTTATGCCCAATTTTGTGCTCAATTGTATAGTATGTGCTTTGTGCAGATGAGAAGAATGTATATTCTGTTGTTTTTAGGTGGAGAGTTCTGTAGATGTCTGTTGGGTCCATTTTCTCAAGTGTTAAGATTAGGTCCTGCATATATTTGTCAGTTTTCTGCCTCAATGATCTTTCTAATACTGCCAATGGGATGTTGAAATCTCCCCCTATTATTGTGTGAAAGTCTAAGTTTCTTTGAATGTCTCTAATAACTTGCTTTATGAATCTGGGTGCTTCCGTGTTGGGTGCATATATATTTAGTAGTTAGGTCTTCTTTATGAATTGAACCCCTTACTGTTATGTAATGCCCTTCTTTGTCTTTTTTTGATCTTTGTTGGTTCAAAGTCTGTTTTGTTTGAAATTAGGATTGCAACTCCAGCTTTTTTCTGTTTTTCATTTGTTTGGTAAATTTTTCTCCATCTCTTTATTTTGAGCCTATAGGTGTCATTGCATGTGAGATAGGTCTCGTGAATACAACATACTGCTGGGTCTTGCCACACTGTGCCATTTAATTGGGGTATTTATCCAATTTTATATCCAAAGTTAGTATTGATATGTGTAAATTTGGTCCTGTCATCATGATATTAGCCGGTTATTATGCAAAGTTGTTTGTGTGGTTGCTTTATAGTGTCACTGGTCTGTATACTTCAGTGTGTTTCTAGAGTGGCTGGTAATGGTCTTTTCTTTCCATATTTAGTGCTTCCTTCAGGAGATCTTATATTGCAGGTCTGGTCATAACAAATTCCCTTAGTATTTGCTTGTCTGAAAAGGATCTTATTTCTCTTTCGTTTATAAAGCTTAGTTAGTCCAAATGTGAAATTCTTGGTAAAAAATTCTTTTATTTAAGAATGCTGTGTATAGGTCTCCAAGCTCTTCTGGCTTGTAGGGTTCATGATTATATGTCTGTTGTTAGCTTGATGATGTTCCCTTTGTAAGTGACCTGCACTTAAAAAAAAATTCAACTTTGGAGAATCTGATAACGGTGTGTTTTGGGGTGGTCTTTTTGTGTAGTATTTTTCTGGGGTTTTCTGCATTTTCTGAATTTGAATGTTTGCCTCTCTGGTGAAGTTGAGAAAATTTTCATGAGCAATATCCTGAAATGTGTTTTTCAAGTTTCTTGGTTTCTCTCTCTGTCCCTCAGGCAACCCAGGAATCATAGATTGGTTATGTTTACATAATCATATATTTCACAGAAGTTTTGCTCATTCTTTATTGTTTTTTCTTTATTTCCTTCTGACTGAGTTATTTCAGACAGCCAGTCTTCAAACCCTGATATTCTTTCCTCAGCATGGTCAACTCTGCTGTTAATACTTACAATTGCATTATGAAATTCCTGTAGAGTATTTTTCAGCTCTAACAGCTCAGTTTCATTCTTTCTTATAATTGCTATTTTGTCCATCAGTTCCTGTGTCTTTATTTGTAATCCTTGGATTCCTTGAATTCAGTTTCAATTTTCTCCTGTATTTCAATGATCTTCATTCCTAACCACATTCTGAATTCTATTTCTGTCATTTTAGCTATCAGCCTGGTTAGGAACCATTGCTAGGAAACTAGTGCTGTCCTTTTGAGGTAAGAAACACTCTGGATTTTTGAGTTTCCAGATTTCTTGTGCTAGTTCTTTCTCATCTTTTTTGGCTAATGTTTCTTCAATCTTTAAAGCTACTGATCTTTGGGTCAGTAGCTTTATCATGATGATAGGACCAAATTTACACATATCAATACTAACTTTGAATATAAATTGGATAAATACCCCAATTAAATGGCACAGTGTGGCAAGACCCAGCAGTATGTTGTATTCAAGAGACAGAGAGAGAAACCAAGCAACTTGAAAAACATATTTCAATGGTCCTGGGGGTTTGATTGTGGTATAATGTCGGTTCATTTGATTGGCTTTGCTTCTGGAGGATTTTAGTGGGGGCAAGGCTCGTTTCAGGACTCGTAAACTGCGTGTTCTAACTCTGGAGGGCTGGTGTCAGGCCCCTGGCTTTGTTCTGTTTCCCCCTGGTGTTAAGGAACCTGCAGCACTGAAGGGGCCATGTTGTTCCTGACTGCTGGCCACAACACTCCAATGGGTGGTGCCAGCCACTGTGCTTCTTAGGGTGGTGGCAGCGGGATCCGTCCTCATTTGTACATGCCACCAGCAGTGGCAGCACCATTGGTTGCATGCTTCTCAGCTGCATCAGGGTACTGGTAGATGCAGTGGTGCCAGCTTCCATGCTGGCATTCACAACAGCAGTGGTAGCAGCATGGCATGGGAGAGGGGAGGGGCTCCACCAGCATTCCAGCACACATTTGCATTGGCAGTGGTGTTAGCATCGGGCAGGGTGCTGTTAGGCAAATGACTGAGTGTGCCCTCCATGTGTACATTCACATGGGTGGCAGCTGCTGCTAGGGATGGGGTGGGTCCACTGGTGTCCCTGCATGGCTTCTTGCCAGCAGCGCAGGTTCTGGGTGCTGGCCAGCATGTGGCTGATGGTCTCCATGCCTGTGAATGTTCCAACAGCAATGGCAGTACAGTTGGGCAGTTGCCGTGGAAGAGTGCATACATGCAAAGTGGCTCAGGGAAGGCTGTGGTGAGGGGAGGGCCTGGGTTGGCTGGTGTGCATCTGCAGGTGCACTCTACTAGAGCTCTTCACTGGTCCAGTATGGTCTGTTACATCAGGCAATATGATGTGGGCCCCCAAGTGGTACCCCACTTGGTCATCCAAGGCTGCCCTGCAAGCAGGTATGGCCAGGCTGGGGCCCAGGGAGAGGCCAGCAGACTGAGGGTTGCTCAGGTCAGACCAGCCTCGTCTTGTGCAAAACCGCCTTGAAGAGTTCAGGTCCAACAGGTGCCCTAGGACTAAAGTCTCCTATGGGAGAGAGTCAAGCCTAGAGAATAGGCGCCCCGGCTATGCTTTACTAGAGATGCTTTCACACCGAAACCTCTGGGATTCGCACCTGCTGGATTTCTGCCCCTACCTATTATTTAAACAGCTTTCCCTGCCAGCTCCAGTTTCCTTGGGGATTGTGGAGTCTCTTGCTGGCAGGACCACGGACCTCTGGAATCCTGTCAGCAAGAGTCTCCACAGCCCCCAGGGACACTGGCAGTTTGGTGCCAGTGGTTGCTCCACATGGCAGGTTGCTTCTTGTCTTCTCAACTCACTTCTTCCCAGGAGTCACTGGGGGCTAGAAATGAGTTCCAGTGAGTGGTGGTAGCCTTGTTCAGGGTTCCTAGTTTCCCCTGACTTCAGCCCAGCATCTGTGTCTTCCCTCAGTCCATTCTCCATGCCACCATTCTGAAGATCTGCTAGGAGTGCTCCAGCCTTCCTGTTGTCATGGTCTCTCAGTGGCAGATGTTGCTTGCAGCTGTGTCTAGTCAGCCATCTTGCCTCCTATCTCCTGAGATATTTTTTTATTTTATTTGTCTTGACTCTTTGAATTTAAATAAATTTACTAACATACAACCTCCAATTCTTTATCACTGCCACAAGAATACTGTGAGAGGTTTTATAACATTTCTTAATAAAGTTCATGTGCTATCTTTCTGTGCTCTTCCCCTCATCCACCACTCAAGTAAAATTAGACCCTGTCAAAATTATGAAATGAGGTGAGTTTGAGTTGACTTGTTATTAATTAATCCATAATGGTGCATGTTATGTACCACTCCATATCCAAGTTTTCATTAAGCTCTTCACAGGTATTAATTTATCTTAAGAAATGAATTAGATTCTCCTTTGTCTGATGAATAGCATGGTTGTGACAGAAAACCGCATGGCAAGGGAAAAAAGCAGTAAAAATATAGATGATGGTACCTTTGTGTTCCTTTGGGATAAAATGGAAAGGTTCATGGTATGATGCAAAAAAAAAAATGCGGAATTTGTAGTCACAGAACCCTATATTTGAAATACAGTATTAGGCAAGAGAAAATGAGGGTGTCAGTGTCCAATTTGCCATGCTTTTCTAATGATTAGAAGCCACAAGTCAAATTAGAAAGATTAGCTTTCCATAGGATTTGACACTTAGTGTCTAACTATTCTATTATTGAATGGTGGGAGAAATGGCCAGAAAATATGAAGGCAAAATGTATAGATTAGAAGAGCATAACATACATATCCATTATTATAATACATAGGCATTATTTACATATTTATTAAATTAAATGTGAAAAAAGGTATAAATCAGTTCTAATTTTGAATACTAACTGGATGTTTGGTGGTACTAATGAACTACTTTTTATTTTAGGTGCAAAAATAGTATTGTGACTGGGTTTTAAAAATACATCTCAACGGTATAACATATATCTAAGTATATGTAGACTGAAGACTTTACAGATGGGAAAGGGAGTAGATAGTGTGTAGGTGGCGAAGGATTTGCCATAGAGTGATGGTTTTTAATGCTGGAGAATGGGTACCTGAGTTCATTTTATGTTCATCTGTCCACATTTGTGTAGGTTAAAAGTTTTCCATAATGAACAAGTAAAATAAGTATTTTCCCCAAAAAGAGGGAGAAGAAGACAACATTGTAAATCATATCCTAAGAAGTTATGATATATTCAAAAGCCACAAGTCCATATAAAGGCATAAAGGATGTAAAGAGTAGTACAAACACTTAAGAGTTTGTGTAAAAGAAGCAGTGGAGGCCAAAGAAGACTTTTGTTTGTGCCACAGATTTTGCCGAGGCCAGGCTCTTACTGATATGGTAATCATATATGTCATATGAGGTAAAATTTAGTTGTATTTAATGTCAGTTTCACACACTTACTTTGAATTCTAGCTCTTCATTAACCCTTTCCAATCTTTTTTCCAGTTCTTATCTATAATCATTTATATGTTTGTTTGTGGCTTTGCTTGATCTTCGTAGTTGACTATCCAACAGTATATTTTCCCCTGACTTTGAAAGATTTCCACCTCATTTGGTGATTTTTTAATATTTTGGAATATGTTTGCTGATCTAAAATGCCTTTTTTATTTCTTCAAGACATACATATTGTAGAATATAATATAAAAGTCTCTTACCTTATATTTTGTTATTTTCATCATGTACATTTTAACTCTCTTCAGAAGAAAAAAATCAGTAAAATAATGTTGGATATTGTGCAAGATTGACCAGAAACACAGCTGAGATGTTTATTTTAATTACAACAAGTCTCAGTTGTCAAACGGTCAAATAGATGACTGCTTAATTGATCCAAATTGCTTGTTCAGATAAAAGCAAAACCTAACAAGAAGACACCTTGATTCAGATCAGTCATTTTAATGACTGAAACGAAGCTCTACAGTGATTCAAATTTAAGGAATTAACTGCTACTGAGCTGAAAAGAAGTAAATCACTTATGAGGAATGCACACTTTATATATATGACATATTTTAGAAATCATAGTAAGAGGGAGTTAAGACAAATAATATTAATATTAGTGTGTAACAATGGTACCACACAGTGCCATTTACAAAGCATTGTCACATGTAGTCACATTTAGTCTTCACAACAACCATGTTAGATACCATTGTCCTAATTTTATGTTGAGAAATTGTTTCTCAAAGTATGCTGTTTAAGTGCCTTACCCAATGTTATACATCTAGTGAGTGCTACAATTCCAACTAAAGCCAAGATCTGAATCCAGGGTTTTTTTCAGTGTTCTCAGTTGCCATCCACAGACATCAAGTCATAACTTTTGTAAAGCTACATTATTCCTAAAAATTAACTCTCACTAAATTAATTTGTATTTTGAAACATATAGTATGCTTTTACAGTTATTATTGAAAGAGCCATCACAAATTAGTAGAAATTTATTCTAAAATTACAGCTCTCCTGGTAATTTTAGTGGAAGTCTCTCCAATTCAATTTTTTGAATATTTTTGAACTAAATAAAAAGAAGTTTGAGGAAGCCTTCCTGGCAAAGGATTTTAACTTATCAGATGCAGACCCCTTTCTTCTCTAATGCATCAGGAAACTAGATATTTTTGACAGATTGGGTCTATTTAACTATCCCGATATAAGCTTTCTGCAGCAAGATTTTTTTTTTAGTCTCAATTTTTCATGGATACTCTCATTGTTTTTTAACAATTTATGCAGCGTCCTTTGTTTCTTTATTTCCTCGTTCATCCACTATCATAAATCTTTTTCACACATGATTACAATCAGTTTTGATTATTTGCACCCCTGAGCTTTTTGCAACATATTCTGCTGTATATTTCAAGAATTCAGAATTTTCTACATATGTTCATTTCATGAATTTCATTAACTATAGCTTTTTCAAGGATGAAACATTAATTTCTCTTAAATGTACATGAAGCTATAAATGGTGATTATATCTTCATAAGAGTTAAATAGTGTATTTAGGGGAGATGTTTAGGAACCAGAAACACTACCCATATGCCCAAGCAACAACAGCCCCAGGCATAGCCTCCCTGAGGGGTCTACCAGTGGGATGATTAGCACCCCACTTGTAACCTACCCTCTGTGTATTAATGTCCCAGGAATTCCCTTTTCAAATGGCCCTAAGTCCACTTCTAGGGTTCTGTGGGCTTCCTCCTTGGCCCATCATGCTCAGTGCAGACCTACCTCAGGTGTATATACCCCTAGGCTCAATGGCTAACAAAGTGGCAAAAGTTAGTGGGAAAGTGTAAATAAAATTTTAATTTATATATAGTAGTGTTCATATTAGTGCAAGTACCTTCCCAGAGTTGGAGGATGCGAATGGGGAAGAAGAGATGGGGAGAGGACCAGTAGCATCCGCCTAAAGATGTTCTTTTTTCTGTGCTGCTGCCTTCTAACTGAGAAGTGCAAAGAGTCTAAGAGATCACAATTTGAACCTACACTTCGAGGTGATTAGGAAGTTATTTTTTCAAGGTAGGAGCATAGAACACATTTTATTTAGCATATTATTAGCAGTATCTATAACTTTTAAAAACATAAATTTATGTTATGTGGGTCTTTATTTATTCTCTTGTTACAATGCCCGCAAGTATTATAGGTGGCCCAAACAGGAGTGACATTGTCAGACAGAGAGTTTGTACTTGCTTTGTGAGCATACACCAAAGAACATATTGAATATGCATCATAATGTCAGAAGTATATCTCATGAAGGTTATCAGAGCCTTGATTTGTACTTACATTTAAATCTCTTTCCAGCTTTCCTCTCATAGATATCCTAAAAGTAATAGAGCATATTAGGAAATTCTCATTTAAAGTAATATTAAGAGTTCAAATCCTCAGTATTCCTGAAGTGAAAATTCAGACTAATTCAATCTAAAATTACCCATTCATTCAACAAACATAAAGCAATCATCTGCTATATAAATAGAAGACCTTTTGAAAGAATTGTTAAGGATAAAAAGTAATATAGCCAGGCACAGTGGCTCACACCTGTAATCTCAGCACTTTTGGAGGCAGAGACAGGAGGATCACTTGAGGCCAGAAATTCAAAACTAGCCTGGGCAACATAAAGATCCCATCTTTACAAAATAAGTAAATAAATAAATATGAATTAGGCATAATTCTCATTTTTTGTCTGATAATGAAGATAAGATAAGCATGTTAATTGATGTAATATAGGGCAATAAATGATATGACCAATGGCCATGAGAAATAGAGTTTGCAGTCTTGCAGGAAAGTTCAAAGCTGTCCATGCCTAGAGTCTGGCATTTACCGGAAGGGAAGAAAGTTTCACTAACCAAGACAGGAAATGCAAAAGAAGCAATTGGTTTAGGAGAAAATATAAAGTTTTAATCATATAGAGACAATTGTTTCTTTGGGACCCCAGGAAGAAATAATACAAGTTTGTTGAACAGATATGTCTCATAAATCTCTCAACTTATGTTCTACAAGTACTCCATTATGAAGCATAAAAAAATCACTAAAGCTAAACTGGTAGGCAGGCAGCCTCTTCTTCATTTTGGGATACCAGGAGTATAAATTTAATTAGAGAAAAGATGATCATGTAACCATTGAAAAGACAATGTACAAAACTAACACTAATCACACAGGACCAGAAAGCAATTTAGACCATACATTGACAAACAAATATCTGTGAGACTGCCGAGAGCGAATGTACTTTAGGACTTCAGGCTAAGATGGTCTAACCTGCAAAAGCCATGCACCTTGCTGTGCTGTCTATAGAAAGCAACTGGAAAAAGGACTCTGATATTACTTCAGAAAAACCCTTTATGCTCCTGATTAGCATATTTTGAGTTTGAATAATAATTTCAGATGGGAAAAGCAGTAGAGCAGGTGTCCTTTCCCTTGTAAAGTGAGTGCATCTTTCATAACTTTCTGCTCACAAAGTCAAGTATCAAGCAAAATCATTGAGCTGATGTGCTTCTAGTTCTGGCCCGTATTTCCAGCTGCAAGCAAGTCTGCCAATCAGTGTCAGATTTGTCAAGAAATTTTATGACATGAATGCCTGGAATGAGTCCAGTGATTACGTTCTCACAGACTATTGAGAATCTGTCAGGGAAATAACACTACAGGAGTTGCCACAGAGACTTACAGTCGGCTTGATATTCAAGGCAGTGAGCTCAGAGGGAAGGTGAGAATATCTCCATATCCTGCAATCAATTGGCTGAGTTAATGTGTCTGTTTATTAAATTTACAATACTTTTAGATAGAGAAAGGAAAAAACAGTAAAATTGGAAGGAATCAACTCAAGAAATCCAAAGCCTCAATTAGTTTTCTAATGCAAACTTCCTTATCTTGAATTCCAGTTACATTAATATGTCTCTTGTATAAGGAAGGTGATTGAATGAGTCAAGATAGGCAAGTTTGTTTTCCAGAATGTAACAATACCCAAATATCAATGACTTAAAATAATAATAGATCATTTGTACAGTGGGTTCTGTAGAATAACAAGTTGCTCAAATCTGGAGTCAAATAAAAAGAGACAATGGATCTCAGGAAGAATTTGGCATAAAGGAGATTTCCATAGGGATGAACATTGAGCATAAGCTTGGAAGAAGGGAGCAGTGTCTTCATACTTGTCCCAGAGTCACGCCCATCTATTCTGCAAATCCCACTCCTTATCACTCATGTTGAATATTCCAAAAGATCTGAAGATTAGAGCCGAAGTGATTTCTGACATCACTGCATTCTGGTTTATTTTTCTATCAAATTTTCTTTTCCTATTAATGCTTTCAGCATAAGGAAAGAAAGGTCTCCAGTTTAAATTACTACAGGGCTTATATTATTAACAAAAATATATTTATATTAATCAAAGAGCATTTAAAATTATAATTGCAGTGGTTTGCTAAGAGGCCAAAAATAATGAGTAGTTTAAATACGGATTTATTTAGAGATCCTTGCTCAGTTTCATAAATTTTGAGCTATGTTAAATTTTAGAAAGGACTTTAAAAAAAATCTCTGGCACATGAGCTAGTCTGCAAAAAATATATATAGTTTTAAATAGTAAATTTATATATTTTATATAATGGCACTTGAAAATCTCTTCTAATGTAAGTTTAAAGGAGGAGGAATAATATAATTGAGTTTAAATATTATCAATAGTTAACACATTGTCTTTGAAAACTCTTATAGCTTAATATTACACAAGCCTATCTGGTTACTTTAACTGGAATTGCATCACATTTTGGAGGAATAAACTGAATATAGATGCAATGTTAGAGGTTACATAAAGTCCCAAGAGAAGCCAGGAGTGGCTTCTGACATGCTGTTACAGGTTGAAACCCTTGTATCTGAGTTTCATACAATTATCATCTTAGGTTCAGTGCTCTGATAGTGCAAGAGTTCTTGAAAGTAGGAAATGTTGGCTGGGCGTGGTGGCTCACGCTTGTAATCCCAGCACTTTGGGAAGCCAAGGCGGGTGGATCACCTGAGGTCAGGAGTTTGAGACCAGCCTGGCCAACATGGTGAAACCCCATCTCCACTAAAAATACAAAATGAGCCAGGCGTGGTGGCACATGCCTGTAATCTCAGCTACTCCGGAGGCTGAGGCAGGAGAATTGCTTGAACCCGGGAGGCGGAGGTTGCAGTGAGCCGAGATCACGACATTGTACTCCAGCCTGGGCAAAAAAGAGTGAAACTCTGTCTCAAAAAAAAAAAAAAGAAAGAAAGAAAGAAAGAAAGTAGGAAATGTTTTTGTTAAATTTCCCTGAGTTTCATTATTAAAAGGTTTTTTTTTTGTCTTTCCAGCCATCATGCTCCAAAGTATCTGAGAAACCCTGCAGCTGTGATTACGTTAAGGCACACTTGTTTTCTGTTTTTTTTTCCTCCATATAATCCTGATAACACTGATTCCTGGTGATTAAAATTGTAACATTCATTTATGTCTGAGTACAACAAGTTGCATTTCTTAAGAGGAATCAGAACAATATAAAGAGCCTGCTGGGTCTAGTTAGGATCCTTTCTATTTTGTGGCCCTCCAATGCAATCTCCTTTCCAGACTTCCCTCCTCCTCCCTGCCCCATGTAGTTAGTTGCTGCTCCCTCAGTCTTCGTTGCACTCTGAAATATTTGCTCTGAAACTTCCTCAGCCAAATATACACAGGCCATCTTATCCAGAAAATATACTCCTTTAGGACAAGGTCTACGACTGCTTATGAGCACACACTCAGGTCAGTGTATTGAATGAAGTAAAGAATGAATTAATTCACTGAGGGAACAACCAGCTGGCTTCAGACTGTGTCTAGATGCTGGTTCTGCCTTTGCTACCATTTCCACATTTATAAGAAGGCAAGAGACGGTTTTCTATTTCTTTAATGGCTGATCCTTTTGGAGATCTCTGCAGAATTAGAGGAATACCTATCTCCAGTTGTTTTTTTTTTTTTTTTTTTTTTTTTTTTGCTCCAAATGTCTATACCCTTGAAAACTGAGACTGTGTTCTCACATCCACTTTAAGGCCCTTTTAAAAAGCTAAAACTATAGTATTTATTTAATAGAAAGTATTTGGACACCTTTATTAATCCAGCATTTGTTTATACATAATACTGCTTTGAAATTCCACTTTCCTGATCAAGGCTAGGAAGTCAAATTACTCAGAAAGCACATGGCCCATTATTAAGAATTAGACATGGTACTTAAAATAACAAATTGCCCTCTTCTCTTTTTAAAATCAGAAAGTAGCATATAATTTTTAAAGCTCATAACACTCTATCATTTAATAAATATTTTTGAGGAACCACTAGTGACTACTTATCAAGGTGCTGTGCTCATGGAGGAAAATGCCACACAAATAAGACACGACTCTTGTCCCAATGACAAGTAAAATTAATGCTTAAAGCACTGATTCTTGCAGCCTGAATTTGCAGTATTCAAATCACTCGTTGATTCATGAAAATGTCACTAACATTCCAGCGAATGCACAAGGTAAACTGGGGGAATTGTCATTTTCTCATCCATCTGCAATAATACAATCTCCATAGCTACAGATTCTTTCTCTGACTTGTTTGCAGCTGTATCTCTTGTGCCCAGAGCAGTGCTGGGCACAGAGTAACCTAATAAATGTCTGTTGAAGGAAATAATTAATTCACTCATTAAATACTTCAGTTCACCTAGTGTTAGAAATCTGTCACAGATTCTCTGACAGTTTGTAAGATGAACACACTTGGTCATTGTGCACTGGAGACTGTATTCATGAGGTTAAGAGCACAGAGAGAAGTCATATTCCTTGAGTTTGAACTATACCCCAAATGCACTAGCTGTGTGACCCTGGATAAGTTTCATAGCATCTTTGAGGTTCAGTTTGTACATTTGCCATCAAAGAATAAACAGTCATAATGTAATCCTCATAGTATTGTGTGAAGGTTAAATAATCTAATGCATGTTCAATGCGAAGCACAATGCATGGGACATGATAAACAACTGTCCTTGTTTGTGATACTATTTTAATCATCGAATAACATTCGACTCATCTTAATTAACTAATCTCAGAAACCATGTGAAACTACCCCGGAAGATGAACATTTCAAATGTGATATCTAGGACATAGCAAAGTGCTTAAGGCACAGCAAATTACAATCCAATTCACTATAAGAACAAAGAAACCTTAGGAAATTTGATTTTCAGTGGTTGTAGCCCTGCAGCAGGAAACTCCCTCTTTATCTTCTTTGCATTGCTTTCCCAGCAAATATTTTACAATCAGACAGACAGCATCAAGTTATTCTCCTTTTCTAAGAAGTATGGATGAAAACAGTTTTAGTGAGACAGTAAAAAGTAACCACAGAAAGGTGTTCATGAAGCACCTACCTAGAGGGTAACAGAAAACAAAGAGCAGAGCCCAGCAGGGAGAACCTCATGACAATCCTACAGGTGATTTTTTTCAATCAGTATTGTTGGGGGACTTCTGTCTTTCTCAGACCTAAGTTGCCAACAAAAACTGAGAGGAAGAAAATTGAAAGGAAATTACATACCTGTGAATTAGGCAAAACAGTTTCTTCATTGATGCCCATTAGAAGAGATTAAATTAATTTTTTCTAGTGGGAAATCTTTCCAACGTGTTCTGTTGTCTCTTTTGGGAATAAAAATAATTAAACGAGTTTTCAAATTGATGTATATTTTACAATAACGGTTACAGTTTCTATAATAGATTTTTGCAATATCATTAAATGTTTATGAAATGTAAACTGACAGCAGGAATAAAAGGATTAAAGTGGCAGGATGTCACAGGCTGCCATGTTACAGATGCACAGTTTCAGGAGACAGACCACGTTGCCTGCTGATGGAATGTTGCCATTATCAAACTGAGAAACTGCTACACAGGCCTTGAGTTCCTCCTTCTCCCTGTCTGCCAAGAGGCAAATTCAACAAATTTTGATGTGAGCACAACATGAAGGGATAAAGTTCAGTCATTTATTGAAAGGACAAAATAACTGCTTTACTTTCTTCACTCACCTAAAGTCAGAAAAGGATTTTGTGCCAACATTAGAAATCAATACTGATGATATTTGGAGATTAACTTTCTCAGCACATGTTTTCAACAGAAGTACTAAGGCCAATGCTACATTCAAATTCATGTTGGAGATTTGGCACTCCACCTACCTAAATGCCCCACTCATAATTTTAAATACTCCCTCAGTGTCCATAGTGAGCATGTGGCATGTAGGCTTTTAAATAGATGCGAATGGTATATTTCTAAAATTTTGAGTGAAAATAATGTACTGAGAAGTTATATGGCTTCCACTTCCTTTCCTACCAAGCTTGCAGTTGACTTCTCCCATATCCCTTACCTCATTGTGCTTGCCAAAGACACAGATGCGTAGCCATCAACTGGCTGCTCAAGATTTAGCTATTGTAGTTGACTGGGATACATATGATCCATGCAACCTATGAAAGGGGACTAAGCTTGCTTTTGCCACTATTCAGTCACTCTCTGCACATTAGCCAGGTACCCAACCACCACCAAGACAACAAATCCTGCACCATGCTATTCCTCCAAATTGTGCATCGTCTCCTCCCCTAATCCTACATTTACCCTATGCAAACACTCTTTTCTAAGTGGATCTCTTCCTCTTCTCCAAATAAGACTTCTCCCATTTTGTCTCTTTTCTTATTTACCAGGTATCCTAGAATTCTTGTATGCAATGATTTTTAAAAAGCATCAATGGTTAAAAACCTCAGAGGTATAATTGCCATGTAAGAAGATGGTCCTGAGCTACAGTGCTGGGTCCTAGAATGAAGACTTATGAAATCTCAGGTACTGAAGTCCTGTGTTTAAACTATGTTTAAATGTTGATATTCTAGGATTTCATCTGGAAAGACATGAGTCACAGGTATATCTGCAGAACTTTCAAGCTGCCTGTGGGCATCACATCCATAGAGGCCAACTATATTTGGAGTGGACTGTAAGGGAACATAGTTGGAATATAGTTGTCCATAATTCAAACTTACATTCACAAACTTTGGTTAAGTGTTCATTGTATATGTTATCCTGTGACAAAAGCTATGTGACTGAAAAACAATGGATTCTATATTTTTAGAAATCTAGTTTTAAGACAAAAACTTCAGTCGCTCTACCCTTTCTTTCCCTAAATTCTAGAGGAAAGACAAAGCTGCATCAAATAGAAGTATTTGGCAGTACTAGAAAACAAAGAAAGAAACGACAGAACATTTTCAAGTGTCAGTTTTCTTTCAAACAAATCCATAAATTAAACCTAATTCCAATAAAATCCAAACAGCTTGTTTTTGTGGTACAATAAAATTACTTCTATTATTAAGGTGGAATATATAGGATCCTAAAAGAAATAAGATAACTCTAAAGAAGATCAGACATTATCTTAATAAAATATAAAATAATCAAAACAGGTGTTATGGGAAAATAGGCAAATAAATCAATAAAAAACAAAAGGAAAGCATGTCCCAAGCATGTTTGGGAAGGTGGTTGTATAGGAAGATATATCAACGGGGAAGAATAAACTATTCAAGTAATGAAACTAAGACAGCTGACTTTCCATGCATGTCAGGTAGATTAATAAGATAAATGTAAAAAAAATCAAAACTATTATAAAAAAATAATGAGATCCGGTCATTTGCAACAGCATGATGGAACTGGGGATCATTATGTTAAGTGAAGTAAGCCAGACACAGAAAAACAAACATCATATGTTCTCACTTATTTGTGGGATCTAAAAATCAAAACAATTGAAATCGTGGACATAGTGAGTACAAGGATGGTTACCATAGGCCAGGAATGGTAGTGGAGGCCAGGGATGGGAGGTGGGAATTGTTAATGAGTACAAAAAAAATATTTAGAAAGAACGACTAAGACCTACTATTTGATAGCACAACAGTGTAGCTGTAGTCAAGAACAACTTAATTGTACATTTTAAAATCAAAAAAGAGTGTAATTAGATTTTTTGTAATACAAAGGATAAATGCCTGAGGGGATGGATACCCCATTGTCCATGATGTGCTTATTTCACATTGCATGCCTGTATCAAAACATCTCATGCACCTCATAAATATGTACACCTACTATGTACCCACAAAAATTAAAAATTAAAAAACACTGAGACAAAAAGTGAGATAACTTTATAATTTTAAGATTGGGAAATAATTTCCTAATTAAACATAAAATAATTACAATACAGAAAGATTGGCAAATTTAACTATATTAATATAAAAACCTTTCAAAATAATGAAAAATCAAAAGCTACAAAGGCGACTTACGTAAAATCTACTGCATCAAAATATATAATGTGTATATAATTAAAAAAAAGTTACGATGAGTGACAGATAGGAAGAGATACATGCAAAACATATGAAACACAAGCTGTAATACAGAATACATAAAGAATATATATAAATAAGCAACAAAAAATATGGAGGAAGGACTTGAATAGGAGAAGGAAACTAAATCATGCCCCTCCCAAAAGTGACTTAATCTCCCTAGTAAGCAAGGGAACAACACACAGATATTTAATTACACTAGTTAGTAGAGGCCTCCTGCAAAATGCTTTCCATTACTTGAGAAAGCAAATAATAATAATAATCATAATCATAATCATAAACTCTTTCTGGTTATTATATAAAAGAATGAATTGGAACTACAAATTTTTGCTAGAAGTCTTTTTTTTTTATTAAGCAAAGAAAGAATGTATAGATTACCAAGTATTTCAAATACCGGAATTTTAATAAGGAAACAAAAACTTTTGCAAATGTATATGTTTCACGTAATAATAGAAAAATTATACCAGGAACCAGAATAAATTATTAATATTGACTTTGATACATGAATAACAAAGGATCAAAAGAGAGACAATTTGTAATATATATACCTTTACTGTTTGAATTATCATAAGCACATTTATTATAATTGAAAAAATTTTAATCTGAACAGCAGAAAAATAAAAACAAAATGGATATGGTAAGAATTCAGATTCAAGAAAGTTAAATTTAAGTTCAGAAACATTGGATGGGATTACTTTTATTGATAAAATATGCAACACCATGAAGACATGATGGTCAAAATTTACAAAATAATCATATATGAAACAAAGTATGTTATAGATTAAAGAAAAGTTTGAAATAATACGGTAACGTGTTTTTATGGTAGTGTTTATAGTGTGTATTTTAGTGAAAAAATGTAAATAATTTTGTGGTAGAGATAATTAGTTGTTACAGATTTTATTTAGCTCTTCCATTGTGAAAGGTTTTAGCTATAAAATGAAATGAATATTGTTTCTGTGAGGCCTGATAGATAAAATCCTCCCAAAAGGAATCTCTTACTATCTTAGTCACTAACTAATTAACAGAGAGAGATACAAAAACAGCCCTAATGAAATGCACACTAACACACAAAAAATAGTGCACAAAAAAGCATAGTAGGAAATCAAGATCTATTAAGGTCAACAGTAAGAGCGCACTCATGTTAGAGGAAGAGTTATAATCTATTTAGGTGGTGAGTAGGAAAAAAACATGACAGATTTTAGAAGTATGAGTCATTCAGTAATAGCCCACACTAGGCACCTTTTTGTTTTGGAATTTTGATAGGCAAATCCATTAATGAGGAACGTGCCTACACGTTCACTTGGAAAGTGAGAGCTAAAATAGGTCCTACGTACTAAATTAAAAAAAAAAACTATTAACTTGATGATCACCTTATATTATCAAAATTAAAATCCATGGTAAAGCATTTTGAAACTGTAAAAGATTGCCAATATTCTAGAGAAAAATCTCAGTGAATATATGCATATATATTTCACTAATCCAAAAAGACACATTAAACTCCTCAAAACAGAGGTTATTTTCTGTTATTTTCAAAAATTTCAGTGTTGTTATAATCATGATTATCACTATAATTATTATTATTGATATCTTCCCTGTTTAGATGGGGAATTCATAATTTTATAAGAAGATTCTAAAATCGTGAAATAGAGTAAATATTGATAGCCTATTTAGTTATCTTATAAATATTCAAAATTCACCCTTGAATATCTATCTTGTATAGATATAATAGTTCTAGCTTAATTGAAATAATGGATTATTGGTAGTAGAAGGAGATATTAATTTTAGTTAATTGCTAAATAATTCAGGAGTTAATGACTTTATATGTAAAATAGACATAATACCAATCTCATAGGTTATTATAAGAATTAGGATTCATACATGTAAATTTCCTAACAATATGCCTGGTAATAATGATACCCAATACTCATGGCAATTGATATATTGTCCCACCTGTTCTAAGTGCCTTTTATTTATTAATTCAATTGATGCTCATAACAACTCTATGAGGTGGGTACTATATTTAGCCCCTGTTTACTGATAAGGAATTAGGTTGGTTCAAAAGTAATTGTGGTTTTTGCCACAACCTAATACATAAAGGGTGAGTAATTTGCCAGGTAAAGTGCCATACAGGATTAGAACACTGAAAATATAGCTCCAGGGACCACATTCTTGTAATGTCTTTTAAGTACCATGTTGCAACTGCAGTAATAATGATTAAATATTATATATTTGTATTAATTATACTGAACATACTGATATGGACATTGATTCATTAATTTAAAAAAAGCTTATCACACACTGACATAATCTGGCAGTGCATGGAAAATACAGTGGTGAATAAAACATAGTCTTTAACCGCAGTTAGCATTAGCATCAAAGAGAAGCTAAGTAATTTCAACATTCTTTGACTATAGGTTGGATCATTGCTCGGCAAATGTACATTCTTCTGTTTTTCATTTGGAGTGGGGTGTATTTCCTTGCCACACTGAGTTTGGATTAGTAGTATGCCTTACTTTGTCCAGTGGAAGGTTGACAGATGTAGTCATGCACTTTACCACGAGAAGAACATACCCTGGGTAGACATTGGTCCAAAGAGTATATTTGGAGAAAATTCTACATGGATCACTCACATTTCTGTATTTCTTCTGAGCAAAAAGCATTGACAGCTTTTTTCTGGAATATCATTGCCTGAATGTTTGTAGAGAAAACAGCCTTGGACGTTAGAGATGACTTTTCCCTCTGAGGCAGAGAACAGATTTCTGTCCAGAAAAATAAAGATAATGGCTCTTTCTGGGGTAATGGCTGAGCAGGTTTGCTAGAAGTCACTTTTAAAATATTTGGATTTCCTAAGCTCAGCGTTCCTCAAGTATGACACCGACCCAGTAAGTGTAAAACATCCACCTGGTCCTGCCTCCACATAAGCTCCATAAAGTTTAACAGGTAAAATAAACTAAGGCAAACATGAATCTCATGCTGTCTGCTTTGGTATGAACATTTAAAAATACAATAAAATAATAGTAGTAGTAATATAAATAATAGCGTCCTTGGTCACTGCCCAAAGAGTCTCATGTTTTCTGTCAGCATCTATGAAACTGTGAGAGGAAACTTGTTAACTTACAAATAGGATAAAATTTGAGACAGTTAATAGTTAATTATAGAGGTTCAAAGTCAAGTGGAGCAGACCTAAATCTATTCCATTATTTGGAGTTAAGCTCAGCAACTTGCAGCTTTGAAACAGAGGGCAGTGAGCCCAGGTGAAACCAGTCAATCCACAGTTGATACAATGTGAAGTGAGTGAGACCAATATACTCATTGTTTTAAGCCACTAAGTTTGGGTAATATGTTATGCATAATTATTGCAGCATCAGCTGAGTGATAACTTTATACTATGCCATGTGCTATAGTAAAAGTAAGTATAAGGTATAGAAATGAAATAAAATAACAGGAACACTTAAGAAAGAATTGTATTCTCTGACAAGTACTCTGGATATAAAAATAGTTGTATTATTTTATTTCATCTAACATTAACAAAAACAAATCCTGCTCATTGCTTGCTCACAAAGATTAGAAACTGTTTTTGACATTCTTTGTTATTTTTCCCATGAAACAAAAACATCTACATATTAAATTGAAATAAACAGGCTGAGATAATTTAAGTATATGTACAATTATTATGTGTCAATCATAAATGAAAAAAGAAATTTCCAAAGTATAAGATGTTCCTCAAACTGAACCTATAAATCCTAAAATATGGAGGTAGTTATGGAAAAATGCTGACACTAAGTTTATTATATTAAGGCTTAGAAGGAAAGTGTAATTAAACTTTGCAGGAATACAAATGATAAGGGAAGATCTCTAGAGCAGAGTGTGCACTTCAACAAGCAAGAGTTCTTCTTCATGATATTCTACCAAAATAGGCATGGGTACAATTGAAAAGAGTTGTTGGCTCCTTCTTGCTAAAGTACCCACAGTCATGAAACACAAATGTGTTACATTTCAATATTTCAAGCATAATGTTCAAAGAATTAGACAGGGAAAATGGCCTCCTTAGGGTAACTTATTTGGAATATCTAGTTTGGTTCAAATAGTGTTGGCTAATTGGACATTTGTGTTACCACCAGTGAATTTGCCAATTGATTACAGGAATGTTATGTGAATATGACTCGGACAAAATAAGAAATGGGAGCAATTATTCTTCTTAACTAGACCTTTTATGTGAAGCTTCCTCCTAAAACTAGTGCATCATATGCTGTTCTGTGTAAGCTCTTTTCTCTTAGGATTTCTGAACTCAATTTTGCATCTACCATGGCTACATATACACATTATGAAACACGATTTGCTTATTCTTAATGTCCCTAACAACTTAAAAAATTTAAACAGTTTTTCTGTTTTTAAGAAATCAGAAAATAGTATCCAATTCTGCTCATAGATGACATTCTACCCATAAATGACATTGTCAATATGGGGTTCATCGAGGATAATTTCTAGACAGTGGTTCAGATTAACCAGGAGAAATTTGAAGGCTCAACTAATGATGTATTCATGAAGGAAGTGTTCATTGAACACCTTTAGAGCTAAGTATTATAGAAAATGCTTTAAATAAAATAAAGTGGTACCATCTAGTAACTTGATTTTTTTTTCTGTAGTTGAGGGAAGCGGCATAGAGTCTACAACTGACTTGCTCAAAGTTATAGAATTTGGTGGTGGGCTTGGTAACTCAGCTTCCTTCCTGTTAGTAACTGGCCCTTTTCTTTATGTTAATTCCCTCAACCAACCTGATATCTATTCTGCATTATCATATTACATCCTGAGGACATAAACAGGATATGGCCCCTACCTTTGAAAAACTAATGATTAAATGGAATGGACAGATATGTAAACATTTAATTAAAGCATAGTCAGAGGATGATCCACCACAAGTAAAGACCACAGTCAATAGCAGTGCTTCCTTAGTGGGACATATAACACCATGATGCAGGAATTAACATTATAATATTGAGGGGGTGGTTGAGATAAACCTGAGGTAGGTCTCAGCCTGAAATGTTTTGTGATCAGTTAAAAGCCAAAACAGAGAAAAATAAAAAAAAAAATCCAATCCATTAACAGGCAACTGCAGCAGAACAATTTTCAGAATTGCTAAAACACGAGAGGAAACAGAACCTTATTAGGTTCTATATTTTTAATATTACATGTGGAAACAAATGGGGATATAAAGCAAGACTTGCATGCATCCGGTTTTTAATATTGCATACATTAAAATTCTAAATTTGAGCCTGTAGAAGACATTGAGAACCTTTACTGTTTATATTTGATTTCTGATACAAGGAGTTAATCAATCTGAATAACATAACTATGTTGGTGGTGGTGGTGGTGGTGCTTTTAAAGCAAGAGGAGAGTGGGAGAGAGAGAAAGAGAGAGAGAGAGAGAAATCCTGTTGGTTCTGTTTCTGTGAAAAATACTAATACACCCTTATAGGATAGAATGTCAATATTTAGAAATAAACATGCTTTTTATTACAAGTACTTTTGAAATAAAATGAGTCATGTTAACTAAATTAACAAATATTTAGTGATATCTAAATACAAAATTTTTCCTGCTGGAATTAAGTGACGTAGCTAAATTTCTCCTAATCTTCCATAGACTCACAGTGTGTATAAATACTACACTGGTACTACTGTATTTTGCTGAAGGAACAATCTTTTTCAGAAACATAAATATGATTGAAAAAATAGAGCTTTGTGCTTCATTATGAGTTAAATGGGAATGCTGTTGTTTACTGAGATATGGTGAGGATGAAATAAGACTATGTAAGTCCCTTGGCACAGAATGGTTGTTTAAGGTAGCTTAGCTTCCTTACTTAGCCCAGCTAAAAAACAAAACAAAACAAAAACAAAAACAAAAACAAAACCTTTGTTTTTTTAGGATGCAACTATCCCAATTATTAAGTGACCATTAGGAAGAGTAACAGCAATTACAGTTCTAAAAAAGGAGGTATTGATTTGTGGAAAAGGGGTGAATTAAATAGAACCATAATTCTATATAAAAATAAATTAGTCCTTAGAAAGAAATAGTGGTTAGTTTGTGAAAATACCACAACTGTGTACTAGTAGCAGTTAATTTTTAAAATCGATTATTTATAATACTACTTTAGATTTTTTAATATTCTATTCATAATACTAAAAAGGCATACATATATAATTGTTTTAAATGTATCCATCTATACATATCTAGAACTATACAATGTGTATTTTTATTGATATTGTAAATGATATATTTTGTTACATTACATGAACTAAGATGTTATTGTTGTTATATAAGAATTGAACTGATTACTCTAGGTTCATTTTCTAGCCTCTAGCCATTATTTTTATATTTTATTATTTTTGATTCCAATAATGTTCCAGCAGCTCCCTAAACATACATAATTAGATCTCTTCTTTTTCAAGAGTTAAAATTATTATCACACCTTTTGCCTTTAACTATTGACTAGAATGTCAGAACAATGTTGAAAATAGCAGTGAGAATAGATGTGGTTGAATTGTTCCTTAACATTAAACCTCTAAGAATTCACTATTGAAATAATGCTTATTGTGTTAATTATTTGTATTTTACTCTGTTTATTAAGCATTTTTCTGTTAAATCACTTTTGAGTTTTATCACATATATCTTTTTGATCAATTTACATGATTGTAGGTTTCTTTTTTTTATTGTTCCTATTGCTACATACTACATTAATAATTTTCATACTGTTAAACCTTTTGATAAATTCTGGAGTAAAACTTGCATAGTCATTATTTATTACAGTTTAATAAAATCATGAATATATTAAATAAATATTTTACATTTAATTTAACTTATTGAATTAAACAAAGGTTTTCCTCAAATTTGGTGTTTTTGTTGATCATCTTTGCACCCATCTTTTTATTAGGCAGCTTTTGCTAGATTAAGTTGAGGTAAAGAGCCACCCAACATGTCAGTGTCATACATTACAAGAATTTTCTCACTCTCACCCCCAATTTACATGTTGACCACTGCAGCTCTATTCCAATGTCTTTACCATCCTGAGATGGTAAGAGATCAACCCTTATCTTTTATCTTGTTAGAAATAAAAAGGGTAAAAGAGCTGATGAAATTCACCCATACTGCTAAACCTTTCGCTGGGAACTGTTATCCAGAATCACAACTACTCACATTTCATTGATCAAACCAATTACATGGCAAAGCCTGATTTTAATGAGTTGAGGAATTACACTTCTCCCACAGGGAGATATTGCATATTGTATGACGATGGACAAAGATACATGATTCTCTTATAGGGAAGAAAAAAGTAAATAAATGGGAATAATAATCCAATCCAATCTACCAAAATAATTGTAAATAAGATTGCTTGGGAATGCTTGTTTTGGTTTTTATCTTTGTCAGGTTTCATATTTTCTCTTGCCGGGTATGTTAGCCTTGTAAAATGAACTGGAAAGTTTTCTGATTATTTCTATAATTACACACACACACGCACACACACACACACACACACACACACACACTACATACAGTTGATTCTCATTCTTCACAGTAGTTCATTTATATGAAGTCACCACAAATACTAAATTATCAAATACTGAACCATTACTCCTAGCTAAGAAATGCAGGGTAAGTTTTCTGTGAGTCTCTGGTCACGATGTTTTTGTTAATCAATTGATGTGTAAATTCGTTTTGCGTGTTTTTCTTTTTAAAGTCACCTTATTCAATATATATATTGTTGATTCATTAAAATTGAGTTCATGCCAACAGCACCATAACTCATGCCTGGACAAAGTTTATCTAACATATATTTTCTCTGTAAGTGACATCACAGCCTTCTTTCACTTAGAAACACTAGACATCATTTCAGCACTATGTGTAGAGGCTACTTTAAATAGTAAAATCACCAAAAACACAAAAAATATGAAAAATGTGCCACTAAATATACTACCAAAGGACTTTGTTTATAGTATGAGAGCTGAAACAAGAAGGTAAGTTGAAGCTCAGCTGGGAACGTGTACATCAGATGACTCAAATACTCCATTGCTCTGTGCATATCCAAGAATAACCTCAAAAATAGCATAAGTATTGATTTTGGAGTTACAAATACATTTTAGTAGTAAGCAAATTTTTAAATATGGAATCCACAAATAATGTGGATCAACTATGTGTGTGTATATATATATATATATATATACACACACACGACTTTTGCTCTTACTATAGATTTTCTTTTAGAAATATAATTTCTGTTTTAAAATTTTATTTTACTACTTGCATATTTTAACATAATTATTTAGACTTTAATTTATATCCAACTTATTTTACTATTCCCTGCTAATCCTCATTTATGTTTATTTTGAACATCTCTTGGTCCATAGGATATCTTACCAAATACTTTATTTATGTGGGTGGTATTATTTCTGAGCCCTTTAATTTCTGAGAATGCTTTTCTTTTGCTGTTCATGTTAAATAATAACTTAGAGGCATATCAAGTTTATGAGTCACAAAATTGTTTTCTGGTGATTAATGTTCTAAGGAAGTCTGAGGCCAGCCTATTTTGGTTTATTTCTTCTGGAGAACCACTTTTTTCCTATTTAAATTGGATGATTTTCCTCAATTTAAAAATTCATGAGACTAATTCTTTGATTTTATTTATTTAATTACACTTTCCTGACATTTACTAAAATCTCTTACTACACAGGCTGAGGTCTGCAGATTTTGAAACCTTTTTATTGAAACCTATTTTTCACTGTTGTTTCTGTTCCATCTGTTGTTTCCTTTTAAAAGAATATTTAATTCACAATTTTGATATCTCTACTTTTTGTTCTCTACAGTAATGATCTTCAACATTTTCACATCTTTGTCTCTTTCTTAAAATATCTTTCCCCAATTCGTTCCCAATATAACTGTTTAGTTCTGCTTACATTTTAATTCAGATTTTAATACTTTCAATAATTTCATTTTTTAAAACTAAACAAGCTACATTACTTTCTGCTTCTCAGTTAGCTCCCATTTTATCTCAATCTTTATTTGCATTTTGTTTTGATCTGTATGAGATCTATATAAGATCGGACCGACCCGTGTAAAATACATTTTGTCAATATCATTAAGTATACCAAACAGATATTTTCTCGAATATTTCTCTGCTTCTTGTTGCTAACTGCTTCAGAATAATTTTCTTCTCTCAAACTAAAGTGTGTGATCTTCTTTTATGCTGCAGAATCTTGTCATATGCCCAATTAGCAAGAGTTCTTTTTAATTGTAAATGCAATTTTTCTATGAGCTGCACAGTTTGTGAGTAAAACTTTTTAAAAAAATTTTTGCCAAAAATAAGAGTGATAAATCCATCTTTGTTTTATAATGGAAAGGATAATTTTTTTTTTTTTTTTTGAGACAGAGTTTCGCTCTGTCGCCCAGGCTGTAGTGCAGTGGTGCTATCTCGGCTCACTGCAGCTTCTGCCTCCTGGTGCTATCTCGGCTCACTGCAGCTTCTGCCTCCTGGGTTCAAGTGATTCTCCTGCCTCAGCCTCCTGAGTAGCTGTCACTACAGGTGTGCACCACCACACCTGGCTAATTTTTGTATTTTTAGTAGAGACGGAATTTAGCCATGTTGGACAGGCTGGTCTCAAACTCCTGACCTCAGGTGATCCACCTGCCTCGACCTCCCAAAGTGCTGGGATTACAGGCATGAGCCACCGCACTCAGCCAAACAAGAATACTTTTGATCAAAGTATCTGTTTCTCTATTATATGTTTTCTGTCAACTTCGGGATTTTGGAGTTTATCATTTCCTTGAACCTTGGTGGCAATTGTTGGACAAAATCACTGTATGGAGGATAAAAGAAAAACCAAGGAGTGTGGATACAAAAATAAAAAATGATTCATTGGCTGGACCAGGAAGGCAGAAGGAGCATCCCATGGTAAATAGTGAACTACTGATTAACCAGAAGGGCTTCCTTCTATCTTTTTTGTAGGAACCAAAATTTGGTAACCAAGCTACAAGGCCCAATTAATTTGAAAAAAAACCTTCTATTATCCTTGAATAAGCATCAATTTGTCAACAATTAAATGTGTCCAAAATAGCATGAATGGATGGGTCTTGGTTCCCCTAATATCTTGGCCATGGCCATTTGAGGGAGCAAAAGTGCCACAGTCATACTTTTCTAGAAACTTCTTAGGTCTTCTGAGAAAAACATCTTAATTTTCTGATAGAAAAATAATAATCATCTTCAATTTATAACAGAAATAATTGGCATGCCTATCCTCTTTCACTTCTAATAATGCCACGTTTTGAGGGAAATACAGACCAAAAATATAGAATGAGATCTTGTCATAAAGCAATGTTCCTGGGAGATGCTGTGGGTTTGAATCCAACTACCACAATAAAGTAAGTCACACAATTTTTTTTGTTAACGAATGCATATAAAGTTATATTTACACTATATTCTATTAATAAAGTGTGCAATAACATTATGTCTTAAAATGTATATAATGTAAGTGAAGAATACTTTATTGCTAAAAGTTTTTTTGTATTATTTTCTTTTTTTGAAACCGAGTCTCGCTCCATTGCCCAGGCCGGAGTGCAGTGGCGCCATCTCGGCTCACTGCAAGCTCCGCCTCCCGGGTTCACGCCATTCTCCTGCCTCAGCCTCTAAAGTAGCTGGGACTACAGGTGCCTGCCACCACGCCCAGCTAATTTTTTTGTATTTTCAGTAGAGACAGGGTTTCACCATGTTAGCCAGGATGGTCTCGATCTCCTGACCTCGTGATCCGCCCACCTCGGCCTCCCAAAGTGCTAGGATTACAGGCGTGAGCCACCGCGCCCCGCCTAAAAAATTTTTAATGATCATCTGAGCCTTCAGTGAGTTGCAATCTTTTCACTGCTGGAGGAACTTGCCTCAATGCTGATGGCTGCTGACTGATCAGGATGGCAGTTGCTGAAGGTTGTGGTGGCTGTGGCAATTTCTTAAAATAAGACAACAATGAAATCTGCTCCATCGATTGACTCTTCCTTTCACAAAATATTTCACTGGAGTGTAAGATAGTATTTCATAACATTTTACCCGCAATAGAAAGTATTTCAAAGTTGGTGTAAACCCTCTCACTCTCTGCCACTATTTTATTAATTAAAGTTATGTAATAGTATAAATCCGTTGTTGCCATTTTAACAATGTTAATACCATCTTCACCAGGAGTAGTTTCCATCTCAAGAAACCACTTTATTTGCTCATTCATAAGAAGCAACTCATCATTGGCTCAAGTTTAATCATGAGATTGCAGCAATTCAGGCTCCAATTCTAATTCTAGTTCTCTTTGCTATTTCCACCACATCTGTAGAGACTTCCTCCACTAAAGTCTTGAACCCCTCTAGGTCATCCATGAGGGTTGAAATCAATTTCTTCTAAACTCCTGTTAAGGTTGATATTTTGACCTTCTCACATGAATCATGAATGCTTTTAATGGCATCTGGAATGGTGACTCCTTTCCAGAAGGTTTTCAGTTTGCTTTGCCCAGATACATCATTGGAATCTCTATCTATGGCAGCTATAGCCTTATGAAATTTATTTCTTAAATAATAAGACTTAAAAGTTGAAATTACTCCCTGATCCATGGGCTGCAGAATGGATGTTGTGTTAACAGGCAAGAAAAAACATGCATCTCTGTAAATCTCTATCAGAGTTCTTGGGTGACTAGGTGTGTTGTCAATGAACAGTAATATTTTTAAAGGAATCATTTTTTCCCAGCAGTAAGTCTCAGCAGTCAGCTTAAGATGTTCAGTAAACTGTCCAGGCACGGTGGCTCATGCATGTAAGTAATCCCAGCCTTTGGGAGGCTGAGTTGGGTGGATCGCTTGAGCTCAGGGGTTCCAGACAAGCCGGGACAACAAGATGAGACCACGTCTCTACTAAAAATACAAAAAAAACTAGATGGGCATCATGGTGGTACCTGCCTGTGGTCAAAGCTACTCAGGAGGCTGAGGTGGAAGGATAGTTTGAGCCTGGGAGGTTGAGGCTGCAGTGAGTTATAATTGCTCCACTGCACTCCACCCTGGGTGACAGAGGGAGACCCTGTCTCAAAAAACAAAAAACAAAACAAAACAAAAAGATATTCGGTAAACCATACTGTAAACAGATGTTCTGTCATCCAGGCTTTGTTTTCCCCTTTACAGAGCACAGTCAGAGTAATTAGCATAGTTCTTTTTTATACTTTTATTTTAGGTTCAGGAGGACGTGTGTAGGCTTGTTATATAGGTAAACTCATGTCACAGGGGGTTTGTGTACAGATTATTTTGTCACCCAGGTAGTAAGCCAAGTACCCAATAGTTATTTTTTCTTATCCTCTCCCTCTTCCCACCCTTCTCTGTCAAATAGACCCCAATGTCTGTTGTTCCCCTCTTTGTGTCCATGTTTTCTCAACATTTAGCTCCCACTTATAAAAGAGAACATGCAGTATTTGGTTTTCTGTTCATGCATCTGTTTGCTAAGGATAATGGTCTCAAGCACCATCCGTGTCCCTGCAAAGGACATGATCTCATTCTTTTTTATAGCCATGTAGTATTCCATGGTGTATATGTGCCACATTTTCTTTATGTAGTCTGCCATTGATGGGCATTACATTGATTCGATGTCTGCTATTGTGAATAGTGCTGCAATGAACATACCACAGTAATACATCTTTATGATAGAATGATTCATATTCCTTTGGTTATATACCCAGTAATGAGATTCCTGGGTCAAAGGGTAGTTCTTCTTTTAGCTCTCTTGAGGAATTGCCACACTGCTTTCCACAATGGTTGAAATAATTTACACTCCTACTAACAGTGTGTAAGCATTCCTTTTTCTCTTCTATCTTGCCAACATCTATTATTTTTTGACTGTTTAATAATAGTCATTCTGGCTGGTGTAAAATGGTGTCTTCTTGTGGTTTCGATCTGCATTTTTCTAATGATCGGTGATATTGACCTTCTTCCCATATGCTTATTCACTGCATGGATGGCTTCTTTTGATAAGTATCTATTCGAATCCCTTGCCCGCTTTTTAATGGGATTGTTAATTTTCTTCTTGTAAATTTGTTTGTTCCTTAAAGATGCTGGATATTAGACTTTTGTCAGATGCATAGTTTGCAAATATTTCCTCCCGTTCTGTATGTTGTCTGTTTACTCTGTTGATAGTTTCTTTTGCTGTGCAAAAGCATTTTAGTTTAATTAGATCCCACTTGTCAATTTCTGTTTTCGGTGCAATTGTTTCTGGTGTCTTCCTCATGAAATCTTTGCCAGGGTTTATGTCCCTGGCATAAACCCTGGTACTCCCTAGGAGTGTCATATAGGGATTTTATAGCTTTGTGTTTTACATTTAAGTCTTACCATTTAAACCATGGTACTCCCTAGGTCTTTCACCCATTTTGAGTTTATTTTTGTATATGGTATAAAGAAGGGGTCCAGTTTCGATCTTCTGCATATGGCTAGTCAGTTATCCCAGCACCATTTACTGAATAGGAAGTCCTTTCCCCATTGCCTGTTTTTGTCAGCTTTATTGAAGATCAGATGGTCGTAGGTGCGTGGCCTTATTTCTGGTCTTTTTATTATGTTCCACTGGTCTATGTGTCTGTGTTTGTACCACTACTATGCTGTTTTGGTTACTGTCTCGGTAGTATAATTTGATGAGTAACTTGATGCCTGCAGCTTTGTTCCTTTGGCTTAGGATTGCCTTGGCAATTCAGGCTCTTTTTTGGTTCCATATGAATTTTAAAATAGCTTTATCTGTTTCTGAGAAGAATGTCATTGGTAGTTTGATAGGAATAGCACTGATTCTGTATATTGCTTTGTATGGCGATTTGATAGGAATGGCATTAAATCTGTATATTGGCAGTATGGCGATTTTAACAATATTGATTCCTCCTTTTCATGAGCATGGAATGTTTTTCCATTTGTTTCTGTTATCTCTGATTTCTTTGAGTGGTGTTTTGTAACTCTCATTGTGGCGATCTTCCACCTCCTTGGTTAGCTGTATTCCTAGGTGTTTTTTTCCTTTTTGTGGCAATTATGAATGACATTGTGTTACTCATTTGGCTCTTGCCTTGGCTATTATGGGTGCATAGGATTGCTAGTGATTTTTGTACATTGATTTTGTATCCTGAAAATTTGCTGAAGGTGTTTATCAGCTGAAGGAACTTTTGGGTTGAGACTATGGGGTTATCTAGATATAGAATCATGTCTCCAAACAGGGATAGTTTGACTTCTTCTCTTCCTATTTGAATAAGCTATATTTCTTTCTCTTGCCTAATTGCCCTGAACAAAACTTCCAATACAATGTTGAATAGGGGCAGTGAGAGAAGGCATCCTTGTCTTGTGCCTGTTTTTAAGGGGAATGCTCTCAGCTTTTGCACATTCGGTATGATGTTGGCAGTGAGTTTGTCATATGTGGCTCACATTATTTTGCAATATATTCTCTCAATACCTAGTTTATTGAGAGATTTTAACGTGAAGGTATGTTGAATTTTATCAAAAGCCTTTTCTGCGTCCATTGAAATAATCATGTGGTTTTTGTCCTTAGTTCTCTTCATGCGATGAATAACATTTATTGATTTGCATATGTTGAACCAACCTTTCATCCCAGGGATGATGCTTACTTGACTGTGGTGGATCAGCTTTTTGATGTGCTGCTGGATTTGGTTTGCCAGTATTTCATTGAGGATTTTTGCATTAATGTTCATCAAGAATATTTTCCTAAAGTTTTTGTTATTGTTGTTGTTGTTGTAACTTTGCCAGGTTTTGGTATCAGGATGATGCTGGCCTCAAACAATGAGTTAGGGAGGAGTCCCTCCTTTTCAGTTTTTTGGAATAGTTTCAGTAGGAATGGTACCAGCTCTTCTTTGTAAATCTGGTAGAATTCATCTGTGAATCCATCTTGTACTGGGCTTTTTGTTGTTGTTATTGTTGTTGGTAGGCTATTTATTATGTCTCAATTACAGAACTTATTATTGGTCTGCTCAGGGATTCTATTTCTTCCTGGTTCAGTCTTGGGACGATGTGTGTGTCCAGGAATTTATCCATTTATTTTAGATTTTCTAGTTTGTGTGCACAGAGCTGTTCATAATTGTCTCTGATGGTTATTTGTATTTCTGTAGAGTCAGTGGTAGCATCCCCTTTGTCATTTTTGACTTCATTTATTTGGATCTTCTCTCTTTTCTTCTTTATTAGTCTGGCTAGCAGCCTATCTATCTCATTAATTTTTTTTTTTCAAATACCCAGATCCTGGCTTCGTGGATCTTTCGAATCATTTTTCATGTCTCAGTCTCCTTCAGCTCAACTCTGATTTTGGCTATTTCTTGTCTCTGCTAACTTTGCATTGGTTTGCTCTTGGTTCTCTAGTTCTTTTAGTTGTGATGTTAGGTCATTAACTTGACATCTTTCTTATTTTTTTTTATATTGGCATTTCGTACTGTAAATTTCTCTCTTAACACTGCCTCAGCTGTATTCCAGAAATTCTAGCATGTTGTATCTTTGCTCTCATTCATTTCAAGTAACTTCTTGATATCCACCTTAACTTCATTATTTACCTAAAGCCATTCCAGAACAGGCTTAATTTCAATGTAATTGTATGGTTTTGCGCATCGAAAAAAATCTTGAATTCTATTTTTATTGCCTCATTGTCTGGGAGAGTGGTTGGTATGATTTGAGTTCTTTTGCATTTATTGAGATTGTTTTATGTCCGATTGTGTGGTTGATTTTAGAGTACGTGCCATGTGCAGATAAGCATTTGGTCCAGTGTTGTGTTCAGGTCCTTCATGTTTTTGTTAATTTTCTGCCTTGATGATTTGTCTAATACTGTCAGTGGGGTGTTAAAGTCTCCCACTATTATTTTGTGGGATTCTAAGTCTCTTTGAAGGTCTCTAAATAAATCTGAGTTCTTCTATGTTGGATGAATATATATTTAGGATAGTAAGGTCTTCTTGTTAAATTGAACTCTTTACCACTATGTAATGCCCTTCTTTGTCTTTTTTGGTTGATTCCATTCTCTCCATCTCTTTCAGTGATACCAATAGGTAATAAATCTGGTCTCTTTACATAATTCCATATTTCTTTGAAGTTTTACCCATTCCTTTTTATTCTTTTTTCTTTATTCTTGTCTCATTGTATTATTTTGGAAAGCCAGTCTTCAAGCTCTGAGATCCTTTACTCAGCTTGGTCTATTCTGCTTTTAATACTTGTGATTGCATTATGAAATTTTTGTAGAGTGTTTTTCCGCTCCATAGGGTGAGATTCGTTATTTTCTATATTGGCTATTTTGTCTGTCTGCTCATGTGTCATTTTATATTAATTCTTTCATCCTTGAATTGGGTTTCAACGTTCTCCTGAATCTCAATGATCATTCCTATCCATATTCTGAATTCTTTTTCTGTCACTTCTGAAATCTCAGTCCAATTAAAAACCCTTGCTGGAGTACCAGTGTAGTAATTTGGAGAAAAGAAAACACTCTGGCTTTTTGAATGGTCGGAGTTCTTGTGCTGGTTCTTTCTCATCTTTGTGGACTAATGTTTCTTAAATCTTTGAAGTTTCTGTACTGTGGATGGGCTATTTTTTTTTTACTTTCATCTTATTTGATGACCTTGGGGGCTTAATTGTGATATAAGGTAGATTCAGTCAACTGGCTTCATGACTGGAAGATTTTCAGGGGTCAAGGCTCAGCTCAGAACTCCTGCCTGGATTGCATGCTATAACTCTGGTAGACTGGTATCAGGCCCCAGCTTTGATCTCTGGCTCCTCCAGGTTAGAAACCTGTTGTACTGGAGGGGCTAAGGTGCTACCAGACCACTGGTCACAACATTCCAGTGCATGATGCCAGCCAAATCACTTCACAGGGCAGTGACAGTGGGATCTGTCCTTGTTCCCATGTACCAGCAGCAGCTGCTGCAGCAGCATTGCGGGGTGCACACTTATCCATTTGATGCAGCAGGGTTCTCATGGGTGCTGGGGTGCTAGCCTCAATGTGGGTATTTGCAACAGCAGTAGTGGCAGTTTGGCTTGGTGGGGGTGAAGAGCCCCCACTGAGACTCTGTGCATGTCCCTGCAGGTTGTGGTTATAGCATGGAGGTGGGGCATTGGTGGGTGCAGGACTGTGTGTGCCCTCTGTGCATGTTCAAGCTGGCAGCAGTCTGCTCAAGGCTGGGAGCTAGCCCACTGTTTTCTATGTCTAGTTTTGCTCTGGTGGCTGAGGCTCAGGGGCAGGGTGCTGGCAGGGGTGGGGCTGGGGAGCTCTGTGCCTGCCGATGTTCTGAAGCGGTGCAGTAGGGTGAGGATGGTGAGGGGGTGCACTCATGGCAGCAGCAGTGGAAAGGCAGGGTGCAGGTATACCAGTACCAGTGTGCTGGTGGAGAAGGGAAGGATAGATCTGCTTGGGCATAGACGCACTGGCATAGAGATGTGGAGGGTGGCTATGGTTGTGAACGACCTGTTGTGTGTCTGCAGAGGCCACTCTGCTGGAACACTCTGCCAGTCAGGTGTGATGCACCAGCTGTGATGTGGGCCCCAGGGGGCTCCTGGCAGCCATATTGCAAGCAGCTGTGGCCAGGCTGGGGCCCTGCAAGATGCCAGAGGTGCTCAGGTTGGACCGGTCCTGTCTCATGGGTAAGACTGCCCTGCAGAGTTCAGGTTCGAAAGTTCCCTTAAGGCTAAAGTCTCCCATGGGAACAAATCTAGCCTAGGGGGATGCACATCTCTGACAGTGCTCCACTACAGTTGCCCCCACAGGACACCCTCTGCGCTCTGCCCCCGGCTGGAGTTCTGCCCCTACCACTTCTCTAAGTGGCTTTCCCTGCCAACTCAAGTGTCCATGGTGGTCTAGGGTCTTCTCCTGCTGAGATTCCCAAGGCTCACAGTGAGAGTGGGTTCATCCTTGCCTGTTAAACTCACCCCCTCTGTAGGAGTCACTGGGGGCCAGGAACACATTCCAGTGTGCAGTAGCCCCGGGAAGGTTCCTAGCTTCCTTCCCCTTCAGCCCAGCCTCTGTGTTTTCCCTCGGTCTGTTCTACCTCTGCCTAAAGCTGCAGGATAAGAACATGGCAGCACTGGGATATGAACTCATTTTTGCCTAGCTCCAAAGCCCTTGCTCATTCATGCAGACTCTCAGAAATGAAAAATAATTCCCTTCATCTTCGTTAAATCACATATTCTTGCATACAAATTCTCCAAAGCTTTTATGAAACCTATGTGATGCTGTAATACAATTGATTACTACAGTATTTATGGAATATACCATTCATAGCTTTAGGCACAATTATATATCAAGCTCTCTTGAATTCTCTCTTTTTCTAAAACCTATGGATTTGAAGTCAGGATATTTTCAGAAGACCAACTGGTGCTAAAAATCCCAAATAGATCAAACATTGTTTCTGTTTATATCTGTGTGACAAGTAATACCAATGTGTGTAATTACAGCGTGGAGAAGCCCACATAATTTCTCTGAGGAAAGTTTATTTCACTGGAAGAAATCATTGCCAATAAGCAATAGAAGCCCTAACCAGTGGCTCTTATTTTGCAATTACACTTTTTCATCTTAAATTTAGTATATGTGTAGCCAAAGCAAGCACCACATTTTCATCTTAAGCAACAACTAAGATTGTGTGTGATATAGGTGAAGGCTATCACCAGATAAACATCACCAAAAAGTTATTTTTAATAGTGTTTTTCTGTTGTGCTATGTTTAGTACCTTTCTTCCTTTCCTACTCCCTCCTCCTCTTCCACAAATATATGTTGAGTATCAATTCTGTGATGCCTGAGGCATTAGGGACTTTAATAAGTAATCTTTTAAGTCTCACCAGAATTTGAGCTTCATCATATGGTATCCATCGTGTAAATGAGGATACATCCTCCGTGAAGTGCAAGGTCACATAACCAAATGTGAAAAGTAGGTCTGTCTCTTGCTGAAAGGAACTGAACATTGGATGCTGTTGCATGAAGCCCAAGGCTTCAGTGGACAACCTCAGAAACCAGATAACTCTGAGCCATAAGACATGATATTGGCCTCTCAGAAGTCTGAGTAAATAAGTATGGATATTTCCCTTATTTTGAAGGCATTAATGACTCACTTCTCTAGGATATTGAGGTGAGTTCTTCAGTGGAAGACAACTGGAAAATGAGTTTCCTTGTCTACAGACATAGGATTTTAATAAAAGTAATCATGAAATTGACCTTGGTGGGGAGACACTGCAACAGGTTTACATGGCCTGAGTGAAGTCCTAACAATAGAGAATATTATGTACGAAGACACGAGAAAGACAAGGAGGTAAGAAAAGGAATATTGACTGGAGTCTGGAATGCAGGAGCATGTGCGTGTGTGTGTGTGTGTGCATGTGTGTGTGAGTGTTTATGTACCTAGATAAGTTTAGATGAGCCTGGAGAATTAACAAGCCGTGCTTATATTTTGCAAAAATACACTCAAGAGGAGACACAGGTTGGAAACCATTGCAGAATTGCAAAAAGAGATAGTGGTGACATGAACCTAAGTTTATGATGATGAGTTTGAAGAGAAATTCTAGGCCTTGGCTTAGAAAACAACACAAAAAAGACTTGGTTCTTCAGGAACACAATGCCCACACACAAACTTCACTAGAAACAGAATTTGCACATAGACAGATATATATATCACTGCTTACTTGGATGAAATATATGCATATACGTCCATTTACAGATGGATTCTTTCATCTCCGAAAGAAAAAGTGCACTTCAGATCTACACTACAAATATATTTACCTACAAATTTACCTATACCAGTTTTACCTGCTATTTTTGAAAGGTAAAGCAGTTGCTTGATTTATTATTTTAAACTTATGAATGCATTTCAAATTGCTATTAATGAAATGAAAATTATTTGAACTTGAACAGATATGTAAGGATATTTGATGTTACTTTTCTCATACAGATCTATTTTGCACATGAGATTTGCCAGGGAGTTGAAGCTGCCTCCTATTCTGCACCTGTTTATACGATTTGGTAATAGTCTTTTGTAGTGAATGTTTATGAACATGGTGAATAGTTATATACATTCAATTGAGAGAGATGATAAAATGGCGTAACTCAAGTTTCACCTATGATTTTGATACATAGTTTTCAAACTTGTTTTGGGGGTTTGATGGAATCCTAAAAGGGAAGATAATAATTTTACTATTAAAAAGTGTTAACATTATTTTGGCTATAGACTCCAATTTTTGGTTAACAAAATAATTGTTATAATTATTTCATTAAATTTTCATATAAGAAGAGTTATATAATTCTTCTTTTACTCAGCACATTTTTTTTTTGAGACAGGGTCTTGCTCTGTCCCCCAGACTGCAGTGCGGTGGCACGAAGCCATCCTCCCACCTCAGCCCCCCAGGTAGCTGGGACTACACGTGCACGCCACCATGCCTGGCTAAATTTTGCCCTTTGTAGAGACCAGGTTTCACCATGTTTCCCAGGCTGGTCTTGAACTCCTGGGCTTAAGCAATGCACCCACCTGGGCCTCCCAAAGTGGGGAGGGATTACAGATGTGAGTCAACGCACCCGACCCCACTTCTCTTTCTAATATTAATTCTGCTTTTGTTTCTGGTTGTATGTATTTTTACAAATAATTGAAAGGATGATGTAATATTCACAATGCTTCAACAATGTGAAAAAAGTATATGTGAATATAAATCACATAATTGATAAAATATATGAAATAATGAGGCCAAAGCAGGTCATTAAGACATATTTATAAGCATTGGGTATTGAATTTACAGATGTTGCCAAAGTTGTACATTCACGGGGCCAGTCATCATAAATTCTGATTGATGTTTAGAATGAGAGCAAGAAATACCCAATTAAGCAGTAAATTGAAAACCATCTAATCTTCTTTTGATGCATCTGTGACGTCTTCTTTGTACTTGTAAACTTGCACTGCACGTTGAATAGGAGTCTTAACAGAGTCGTAAGTCCATCCCTTCTTGGCAAACAGCTTTTCAATGACGCCAGGCATTCTGTAGCCCTTGCTTAGAATGAAATCCTTAAAGGCAATTGGTCCATAAAGACCGTCAAGAATGTCGGGTTCATCAGGCTTTTCAAGTACGGGCTTGGGGTCAATCAAAGGTTCATCACTTCTTAGCTTTTTCCCCAACTTAGGCTCGAAGTACCATGGTCCATACCTTATCCTCCCACGCTGTGCACTATAAGAATGCGGTGCCGCCCGGCGTCTCCTGTCCCAGTATTTTATCCGTAAGAATTCGACCTCATCCATGTCGTCTAGCTCCATGCCGTACATCAGCCTTGAAGCACACTCGTTTGCCTTCTTAATCTTTTGGTCTTGATCGGTTGTTCTGCACTCAGGGGTAAAGTCAAACAGACTGCTGATGGATTCTTCATTAACTCCTAGGTCTCCAGCCCACTTGAAGTCACGGAGTTTTCTCGATGTGTGTCTACGTTGAAGAGAGTCAGAAACACACTCCATTGTGCTTGGTGTATCTTCCTGAAACAGTTCTTTTAGATGGGACGCTCCGGTCTTGGTAGGCTCCGGGCAGAGACTGGACACCCGACGAGTCTTGGGAGGCTTCAGGCAGAGACTGGCCATTCGACGAGTTATGGGAAGCACCAGGCGGAGATGGGGCATCCGACTCTCAAAAGGCCGCGGACAGGATTCCCAAAAATGGTATTTACCAGGCTTGGTGAGTTCCTCGGTTGTCATCTCCTGGCCCTCACAACGAGCCCGTGCGTCTTCCAGCTTCTTCTCAGAATCCAGTTTCAGCACCTGTAGTAGGAAACTGGACACCCGATGAGTGTTGGGAGGTTCCAGGCAGAGATGGGACACTCCAGCCTCGGGAGGCTCCGGGCAGAGACTGGACACCTGAGTCTTGGAAGGCTCTGGGCGGAGATGGGACACTCCAGTCTCAGGAGGCTCCGGGTGGAGATGAGATACGCGAGTCTCGGGAGGCTCCGGGCAGAGATGGGACGCTCCAGTATCAGGAGGCTCTGGGTGGACACTGGACACCAGAGTCTTGGGAGGCTCTGGGCAGAGATGGGACACTCCAGTCTCGGGAGGATCCACGCGGAGATGAGATGCGCGAGTCTCTGGAGGTTCCGGGTGGAGACTGGACACCCGAGTCTTGGGAGGCTCTGGGCGGAGACTGGACACCCGAGTCTTGGGAGGCTCTGGGCGGCGACTGGACACCGGAGTCTTGGGAAGCTGAGGACGGAGACGGGACACCGGAGTCTCGGGAGGCCGCGGGCAGGATTCCCCACAGGGATATTTACCAGACTCGGTGGGTACCTCGGTTGTCTTCTCCCGGGCCTCACAACGAGCCCAAGCGTCCTCCAGCTTCCTCTCGGGATCCAGCTGTTTCAGCACCTGTAGTAGGAGATCTGGAGGCATATCTTTTCCCAGATTGGGGTACATGGCCAAGGGATGCTTGGTCATCAGCTGGGCTTCCACTTCCTCTACGAACGCCTTCCGTGCTGGCTGTACTGGCGAGAGCTCGGAAAATAGGGCCGCTTTCTTGAGCAGCTTTTTCTTCCTGCTTTTGCGGTCAGCTTGGGGACCTCTGAGAGATATTTTGGGGAGTAAAAACTCGTCACGGCGACAAACAAGCGTATCTTCAGGAGACTGACAGGCGTAGCGGAAGTCGTCCATGCCCTCCGTCACAAATACCCAGTTCTGGGTGTCCACAGGCGGGAACCTCAGGCGCCTGTGCTTGCGCTTCGCGAAGTACTTGGAAGGCGGTTTGTCACAGTACCAGGGCTTGGAGTCCATGCCTTGGGACCTTGGCCGGTCCTGTGGCCTCCGGTCCCCCATGGTGGCCCTCTCTGTTGTGCCACCTCTCCAGCTTCTGAGGTTCCAGATCCCTGCCGCTCTAGTCGCTAGGAGACCGCCAGCCACACGCAGCCCAGGTTCCTTCCTGGAGGTGGGGCAGCGCTGACGCCACCTGCGCAGCCCGGATTCTAACAGGTGTGTAGTAGAATCTCATTCTGGGTTTCATTTGCGTTTCCTAATGACTACTGATATTGAACATCTCTATATTTGCTTATTTGCCATCCTTATCTCCCCTTGGTTGAAGTTTCTGTGGATTTTCCCCCCATTTTTAAATTGTGTTGCTGGATATCATATTTAGTTTTGAGAATCCTTGCTGTGTTCTAGATGTAAATAGGTTATCAGATGCATGATTTGCAAATTTTTCACTTCATCCTTGGCTTTGCTCTTTCATTGTCTGTGTCAAAGAGAAGTTTTTTAATTTGATGAAGTCCAATTTATCAATTTGTTCTTTTACGGATTGTGCTTCTTTTGATGTATCTATGAAAAACTTTGCCTATCCAAAGGTCACAAAGATTTTTTTCATTTAAATGCTATAATTTTTGTAAACAGCACAAGATATAGATCAAAGTTTTTATTTTAAAAATGTACCTATTGCTTACGCATATCTGATAATTTCAGAACTATTTTTATAAAGACAATCTTTTCTCCACTGAATTACATTCGGAAATTGGTAGAGTATCAGTTGTCTATTTGAAGGTCAATTTCTGGGCACTGTTTTCTCTTCCATTGATTTTTCTCTCACACAAATTTCACACTATCTTGGTTACTCTAGCTTTATAATAAATCTAGAAATTAGGCTGTACTAATTCTTTAACAATGTTCTTTTACAAAGTTGGTTCTTCTAGGTCCTTTGAATTTCTATAGAAATTTTAAAATCTGCTTGTCTATGTCTTAGAAAAAGTCCTGTTTGGATTTTGATTAGGATTCTGTTGAATCTATAGATCAATTTGAGGATAATTGGCATATTACCAATATGAAATGTTCTGACCACTGAGGAAGGTCATCTTTCCATTTGTTTATGTGATTTTTCATTTTCTCGGGAATATTTTTTATTTTTTAGTGTATGTGTCTTTCAAATCTTTTTCTCTCCAGATTTTCCCTAAATATTGTTTTTCATACTATTATATGTAGTTTTTTTTTGTTTTGTTTTGTTTTTTTTTGTTTTTTTTTAAGAGACGGAGTCTCGCTCTTTCGCCCAGGCCAGACTGCAGTGGCGCTATCTTGGCCCACTGCAAGCTCCGCCTCCCGGGTTCATGCCATTCTCCTGCCTCAGCCTCCCCAGTAGCTGGGATTACAGGCACCCGCCACCGCGCCCTGCTGACTTTTTGTATTTTTAGTAGAGACGGGGTTTCACCGTGTTAGCCAAGATGGTCTCGATCTCCTGACCTCGTGATCCACCCACCTCGGCCTCCCAAAGTGCTGGGATTACAGGCATGAGCCACCGCGCCCGGCCTGTAGTATTGTTTTTTAATTGCAATTTCCAATTTTTTGTTGTTAGCATATATAAATATTGAGTTTTGTATATCCATCTTGTATCATACAACCTTGGTAAACTCACTTATTATGTTCAGGAGCATTTTGTAGATTTCACTGAATTTTCTATATTTATGATAATGTCATCTGTGAATAAAGACAGTTTGAGGCCAGGTGCAGTGGCTCACGCCTGTAATCCCAGCACTTTTGGAGGCCGAGGAAGGCGGATCTCAAGGTGAGGAGCTTGAGACCAGCCTGACCTACATGGTGAAACTCCGTTTCTACTAAAAATACAAAAATTAGCTGGTCATGGTGGCGCGTGCCTGTAGTCGCAGCTACTAGGGAGGCTGAAGCAGGAGAATCACTTGAACCCGGGAGGCGGAGATTGCAGTGAGCCGAGATCGCGCCACTGCACTCCAGCCTGGCGACAGAGCGAGACTCCGTCAAAAACAAACACACACATACACACACACACACACACAAGACAATTTCCTGTCTTCCTTTCCAATCTCAGTATCTTTATACCCCCCAGTCCAGTCGTAATTTTTGATTTTCCTTTGAATAATATCAGTTAAATTTTTATCTCTCTTATGGTGCTTAAAACAATACCTATGAAAAAGCATTTTTATAAAAAATTTTAATTATAGACAAATTCAGCCTGCATTGTTCCTTATGCATATCACTTTCTCATCACATAATAATTTTTCCTGTACATTCTTACTCATTTTTGAAAAGAAGGTTTCTGACTTCCCTTGTGAGGTGCAGCTGAACAATGTTTTCTACCATTACTAGCAGGTATACCCTAGTTCCTCCTTGTAAATGAAGCATGATCAACGCCTCTCTTCTCTTTGGTTCCTCCTCTGCAAAATAGACGCAATATATATTCTTTTAGGTTTCTCATTAAAGCAAATAAATGGTTTATGTGTAAATCAAGATAATCTATATAACATGATTTTGTATAGGGTCTGGAACAGAATAAGCATCCAGTAAAATATTGTTATTTTATATAGTATTACTACAATTTGGAAATAAAAATATTCTACATTCAGTGTCTAAATAAAGGAAAAACAAACATCATACATTTATATATCACAAATATTTTCATTTATCGATTATAAGAATCTATGTTAAAGTCTCAAGATATTTAGTAGATTTCATAATGTGAAGTTGGTAAGACCAAATTTGATATGGATTTATTTTTAACTTTCTTACTTAGAAAAATTCCATGGACTGTGTGTTAAATTCAAGAGCCAATGCTTCACCAATTCTCTATAACAGTACTCTAACTAGCAAGCTCATATGAGTACTCACTTATCTAAAATGGGTGAAGGTTTGAATAAAACTTCTATATTCTAAATAATCCCACAGAAAAACACACATTGAAGCTCTTAAAGATCAACTGGATATCTTCAAAAATTTTCAGGTGACTGTTCATTTAAACAGTTTTTGTACCTTACAGCCACTTTATTTTTTTCACTTTTCAAAGTAGAATATTATACAAAAGACACATATCCAGAATACATAAATAAATCTTAAAACTTAACAATAAGAAAACAAAGAACACAAAAAAGTTTATAATATATAGTGGTTTAACATGTACAGAGATTAATAGCTAAAGAAATAATTATAGATGTGTATACATATTGGTTAGTATACATGCATATATTTTATAGCTCTGTCTGCTGAGAAACTAGAAAAAAATGACACCCAATTAGCAACAGGTACCTCCAGTGCCCAGATCTTGGTTTCTAAATACCATTCTCCAAAATAACAAATGCAAAACAAAAAACAGACATCCTTGGAGAAATGAGTAATTCTAGGCCTGGGGCAGTGAAAACACAAGATGAGCCTGGAGTATTATGTAATGCCAGAAAATACAGAAGTGCTCAGAAAACAAAAGAATAAAAGCAGATCAGGAGCCACACTGAAAGAGCACTCGATGGCCAAAGTTAAAACAATTTAAGCAACAAAATGAATTAAAATTTAAAAATTATAACACAGTATAAAATAAAATATTCATGAGTCCATACTGATATAAATAATTGTACAAATAAATAAATGAGGAGAAAGGTAAAAGTCTTTCTTACAAAGAATTTCAAAAAATGTACATAGATACTCCTCCCTCCAGCAGGTGAAATTTAAATGCCCTCCCCAGAGTGTGGGCTGGATTCTAAAAAACAGAATATGGAAAGGGAAAAATAGTAACATTTTAGGAGAGAAGCCTGGCAGTCCTCTCGTTAACCAAATGATCCAATATCAGCAGTGAGAAGTCACGTTGGTATCATGTGCTCCTCTGATAGGATGTGATGAGAAAAACACTTCACCTCTGTAGTGTTCTTCCCTAAATTCCAGAATCCTAGCCTAATGAGGAGAAAACATCTAACAAACCCAAGTCCAGGGACATTTTACAAAATTCTCAAGTACTCCTCAAAACCATAAAGGTCATGGGAAACAAGTAAAGGCTGAGAACCAGTTACAGACTTTAGATTAAAGAGACATGAAAACTAAATTCCATGTGGTAGGCTGGGTTGGATCCTGGCACTAAAAAAGGACATGGGTATAAAAATCTATAAATCCGAATATAGTCTGAAGTTTAGTTAATAGTAATATGTTAATGTTAATTTTTTAGTTTAAATGCATGTACAATGTAAGATATTAATTTTAGGGGAAGCTGAGTGAAATGTCCATGAAAATGCTTTGTACAGTGTTTGCAACTGTTTCATAAATCTAAAATTATTCTAAAATAGAAGGCTTCCATTTTAAACTATGTATTGCATCATGATGGATTATCAACAAATCACTATTAATCACACAGGAGAGAAAGCTGTAGCTTCTTTAAAATGCATAATTGTGGCCCCCCTCACCCCATATATAGTAAATCATAATTTTTTCAAAGTGGAGCCAGTCATCTACATTTCACATGGTCTTTAAATTGTACACACCAATATGTGAGAATTACTTTTGTAAAGCCCTGTGCCTTTTATAGGCCCCAAAGACTTTCAAAGAGTTTAAAAACCACAGTGGTAATAGTATTATCCAAAGTCACCAAATTTGAAGAAAATTAAATTTCAGCAAGTGCTAGATGGGAATGTAAAAATCAGATAGCAGAGCCTGTGGACAAAATAATTCACTTAGATAACATGTGCATAACTGGGATCCCACGGGATAATGATGTCATGATAGAAGAGTAAAGAAGATACGAAATTTGGTGAGTACCTGACTGGCAGTAAAAAAACAACTAGGAGTGAAAGCATCTTACTTGTGCAAATAGTCCTTCTTGGGTTGAAGAAAACTGACATCACTATAGAGTGCAGAGAAATTACAACTGGCCTGTTCAGTCAAGAAGCACCAACTGCCTTAGTATAAAGTGTTATTCCAGAAATGAATAGTGTAGCTGACAAGCAAAACCAGCACCAACAAGCTAATAAAGAAATGTTCAAGCAAGTCAAAAATGCTCTGAGTGGAGCAGCATGTAATGAATAAGTAAACAAGGGAATGAGAATAAACAATGAAAATCAATGTGATGAAGTGCGTTGATTTAACGGAGCCTAAGTAGTCCCAGTTTTGACATTTTTGTGTGCCTCTGACTGCTCTACGAACTTTACCTTAACTCAGGACACCATTTTTATTCTCCAGCAGACTCATGTTATCTGAAATCTTGCTGCCTCTCGTATCCACACGCAGCACCTGCCAGCCTTTTACAGAAGCCGAATGACGTTCACTCTGATCCAATCGACTTTGTAATTGTTTTGCTTTTATTAGCTCTTGCTAAGTTTACCTTCTGTGTGGAGAACCTCAGAAACCACATAACTCTGAGCCATAAGGCATGATATTGTCTTCTCAGAAGTATGAATAAATAAGTATCGAGATTTCCCACATTTTGATTGGATTAATGACTCATTTCTCTAGGATATTGAAGTAAGTACTTGAGTCTTAATGCTCTGGCCAGAATTTCCAATATTATGTTGAATTGGAGTGGTGAGAGAGGGGATCCTTGCTTTGTGTCAGTTTTCAAGGAAAATGCATCCAGCTTTTGACTATTCAATGTGATGTTGGCTGTGGGTTTGTCATAGATTGCTCTTATTACTTTGAGGTATGTTTCTTCAATACCTAGTTTATTGGGAGTTTTTAACATAAAGGGGTGTCGAATTTTACCGAAAGCCTTTTCTGCGTCTATTGAGATAATCATGTGGTTCTTGTCATTAGTTCTGCTTATGAATCACAGTTGTTGATTTTTGTATCTTAAACCAATCTTGCATCCCAGTGATAAATCCAACTTTATCATGGTGGATGAGCTTTTCTATGTGCTGCTGGATTCGGTTTGCTAGCATTTGGTTGAGGGTTTTTGCGTCAGTGCTCATCAAGGATACTGGCCTGAAGTTTTTTTTGTTGTTGTGTCCAGGTTTTGGTATTAGGATGATGCTGGCCTCATAGAATGGGTTGGGGAGGAGTCCCTCTTCAATTTTTCAGAATAGTTTGTATGGAAATGGTGCCAGCTCCTTTTAGTACATCTAGTAGACTTTGGCTGTGAATCAGTCTGGTCCTGGGCTTTTTTTGGTTGTTGGGCTATTTATTACTGATTCAATTTCACAACTCATTATTGGTTCGTGCAAGAATTCAATTTCTTTTTGGTTCAGTCTTGGGAGGGTGTATGTGTCCAGGAATTCATTCAGGTATCTTCTAGCTTTTTGAGCTTGAGTGCATAGAGGTGTTCACGGTTGTCTCTATTTTTTTTTCTCTTTGATATTTCTGTGGGGCCAATGGTAACATCCCCTTTCTCATTTTTAATTGTGTTTATTTGGATCTTCTCTTTTTTTCTCTGTATTTGTCTACCAATAAGTCTATCTTATTAATTTTCCAAAAAAAAAGCCTCCTCGATGTGTTGACACCATAAATAGCTTTTCATGTCTCGATCTCTTTCAGGTCAGCTGATTTTGGTTATTTCTTGTCTATTGCTAGCTTTGAGTTTGACTTGCTCTTTCTTGTCTACTTCTTTTAGGTGTGATGTTAGGTTGATAAATGGATATCTTTCTAATTTTTTCATGTGGGCATTTAATACTACAAATTTCCCTCTTAACACTGCCTTAGCTGTGTCCCAGAGATTCTGGTATGTTGTATTTTGTTCTCATTAGTTTTGAAAAAACGTATTAATGTCTGCTTTATTTTCATTATTTACCCCAAAGTTATTTGGTAGCAGGTTTGTTAATTTATATTTAAGTGTATGGTTTTAAGGTACTTTCTCAGTCTTGATTTCTATTTTAATTGTGCTGTGGCATAAAATAGTGGTTAATATGATTGTGGTTCATTTGCATTTGATCAGGATTGTTTTATGTCAGATTGTGTGGTTGATTTTAGACCATGTGCCATGTGTAGATAAAAAGAACATATAGTATATTGGATCAGAATGGAGAGTTATGTAGATGTCTATCATGTCCACTTGTCCCAGGGTTGAGTTTAGGTCCTGAATACCTTGGTTAATTTTCTGCCTCAGTGATCTATCTAATGCTGTCAGTGGGGTGTTGAAATCTCCAACTATTATTGTGTGGTAGACTAAATCTCTTTGTAGGTCTCTAAGAACTTGCTTTGTGAATCTGGGTGTTCCTGTGCTAGTTGCATATATATTTAGGGTAGTCAGGACTTCTTGTTGAATCGAACCTTTCAATTCATGTCCTTCTTTCTCTTCATTTCATGTCCTTCTTTCTCTTTTATGATCTTTGTCAGTTTAAATCTATTTTTTTTTCTAAAATTAGGACTGCAACCTCTGCTTTTTTGTGTTTTCCATTTGCTTGGTAGATTTTTTTCCATCCCTTTATTTCGAGCCTATGAGAGATGAGTCTGTTGAAGACCACGTTCTACTGGGTCTTTCTTCTTTATCCAGCTTGTCACTCTGAGATTTTAATTGGATTTAATTTAATTGCTGCATTTAACCCATTTGCACTTAAGGTTAATATTGGTATGTGTGGATTTGATTCTGTCATCAGGATGTTAGCCGGTTATTATGCAGTCTTGTTTGTGCGGTCACTTTATAGTGTCCTTTGTCTGTGTATGTGTGTTTTTCTAGTGGATGCTAACTGATATGGTCTGGCTCTGCGTTCCCCACTCAAATCTCATTTTGAAATGTAATCTGAATTGTAATCCCCACGTGTTGGGGAAGGGACCTGATGGGAGGTGATTAGATCATGGGAGCATTCCTCCATGCTGTTCTTATGATAGTGAGTGAGTTCTCATGAGATCTGATGGTTTTATAAGGGGCTTTGCCCCCTTTCACTCTGCACTTCTCCTTCCTGCCATTATGTGGAAAAGGACGTGTTTGCTTCCCCTTCTGCAATGATTGTAAGTTTCCTAAAGCCTCCCCAGCGATGCTGAACTGTGAGTCAATGAAACTTCTTTCCTTAATAAATTGCCCAGTCTCAGGTATGTCTTTATTAGCAGTGTGAGAATGGACTAACGCAGTAACAGTCTTTCCTTTTTATATTCAGTGCTTATTTCAGGAGCTCTTGTTTGGCAAGTCTCATGGAAATAAATTCCTTCAGCATTTATTTCTCTGAAAAGGCTCTTATTTTGCTTTGCTTATGAAGCTTAGTTTGGCCAGATAGGAAATTCTTGGTTGGAATTTTTTTCTTTCGATATGTTTAATATAGGTCCCCCAGTATTTTCCAACATGAAGGGTTTCTCCTAAGAGTTCTGCCACTGATGTGATGAGGTTCCCTTTGTAGGTGACCTGTTATTTCTCTCTAGCTGCTTTTAACATTTTTTCCTTTTTTTTTTTTTTTTTTTTTAAGACAGAGTCTCACTCTGTTGCCCAGGCTGGAGTGCAGTGGTACGATCTCGGCTCACCACAACCTCCATCTCCTGGGTTCCAGCGATTCTCCTGCCTCAGCCTCCTGAGTAGCTAGGACTACAGGCATGTGCCACCATTCCTGGCCAATTTTTGTAGTTTTAGTAGAGACAGGGTTTCACCAGGTTGGCCAGGCTGGTCTCGATCTCCTGACCTTGTGATCCGCCTGCCTCGGCCTCCCAAAGTGCTGGGATTACAGGCGTGAGCCACGGCCTCGGGCCAACGTTTTTTTTTTTTCATTTCGACCTTGGAGAATCTGATTATTATTTGTCTTAGGTATGGTCTTCTGGTGAAGTATCTTATGGGGGTTCTGTGCGTTTCCTGTATTTGAATGTTGGTCTCTTTAGCTAGGTTGAAGATGTTCTCATGGATGATATCCTGAAATATGTTTTCCAAGTTGCTTCCATTCTCTCCATCTCTTTCAGAGAGGAAATTGTGTCATACACTTGGTCTTTTTACATATCCTATATTTCTCTTAGGTTTTGTTTGTTCCTTTTCATTTTTTTTTCTTTATTGTTGTCTGTCTTGTTTCAATAAGCCTGTCTTCAAGCTCTGAGATTCCCCAGCTTGGTCTATTCTGCTGCTAATTCTTGCAATTCCATTTTGTAATTTTTATAGTGTGTTTTTAAGCTCTATCAGTCAGTTACATTTTTTCTATACTAGCTATTTTGTCTGTTTGCTCCTGTATTGCTCTATTGTGATTCCTGGCTTTCTTTGATTGGGTTTCAGCATTCTCCTGAATCTTGATTATTTCTACCCATATTCTGAATTCTGTTTCTGTCATTTCAGCCATTTCAACCTAGTTAAGAACCCTTGCTGGACAACTAGTGTGGTTGATTGGTGGAAATAAGACCATCTGGCTTTTTGAGTTGTCAGAGTTCTTGCACGGGTTTCTTCTAATTTTTGTGGGCTGATGTTCTCTCAATCTTTAAAGTTGCTGTTCCTTGGGTGTTTTTTGTTTGTTTTAGGCTATTTGATGACCCTGGGGATTTGGATGTGGGATAAGGTGGGTTCAGTCGACTAGCTTTGTTTCTGTAAGATTTTAGGTGGCAAGACTCAGCTCAGGTTTCTGGATTGTGTGCTCTAACTATGAGGAAATGTTACTGAGCCCCAGCTTTGTTCTTTGGCTTCTTGATGTTAGGGACCTGCTGCAATGAAGGCGCTGAGTGCTTCATTGGGTGGTGCCAGTCAAAGCACTTTGTAGGGCAGTGGCAGTGAGACTCATGCTCATTCACATGTGCCAGCAGCAGCAGCAGTGTGGCAAGACAGCATGGTGCTAGTGGGTTCTGGGGTCCCTGCCTCTATGCTGGTGGTCACAGCAGCAGTGGTGGCAGTGAGGCAGCATTGCTGTCTGGGGTAAATACCTGAGGTTTGTCACCTCACACCAAGGACATCGAAGACGTGGACACACGACAAGTGAGCTTACGAGCGGAGGTTTAACAGGCGAAAGAAAAGAGAAAAGAGAATTCTCTCCTGCAGAGAGACAGGGACTCCTGAGTGGGGCTTCCAGTTCTGTGGTGAAATGCATGGGGTTTCATAGACAAGCTTGAAGAGGCAGTGTCTGATTTACATAGGGCCCAAAAGATTGGTTGGACCAGGTGTACCATTTACATAGCGTGCAAAGAAGCTGGCTGCTCCACCCTAATATTTTATTATGCAAATTGTTTCTCTACCTGCCTGGTGTCATGCTGCCTGCCTCTTTACTGCACAGATGGTTGACAAAGAAAAGGAAAGAGGGAACCTCCGTGTTGAATATACCTGGCTTCCAGGTATTTTTTTTCTATTGGCACAGTGGCCAGCATTTACCTCTGCAAGCATTTAGCTTGCTTATCTATACTTGAAGCTTGATACTTCAGGCTGCTTTTTGTTAGAAAAGAAATGATTTTGGGGCTTCTTTTTATTAAAAGGAAACCTTACCAAGGACTCTCTTACCCTCACTATCTGCCTAAATACTTTCTTTCTAGCTCCTGTATCGGCAGCATAGCTTGGGTTGGGCTGTGGGCTCTGCTGGCAACTGTGTATTTGTTTGTACCTGTGGTGGTGTTAGCACAAGGGTGGAGCACTGCTGGGCACTATGTGTGCCCTCTGTACATTTTCATTTGGGCAGTGGTGTCCACTGCCAGTCAGGATGGGGGCAGGTCCACTGTTTTCTGTGGTTAGTTTTGCACCAGTGGCAGTGTCAATACACGGGCAGGGTGCTGGTTGGGGTGGGCCTGATGGACTCTATTCCTGCCAATCCTCTGATAGCAGTGGCTGTGCTGTAGGGAGTAGGGTGGTGTGGTGCACTTATGCCAGCAGCAGTGAAATAGCAGGGTGCACGTGCACCCTTGCCTTGGCAGGGAAGGGGAGTCAAGGTCTACCCATGCACACATGAACCAGCAAAGCAATGTGGGGGGTGGCAGTAGATGAGTGTGTGCAAGCAAAGTGGCACAGGGGAGGCTGCAGTTTGGGGAAGGCATAGATGGGCTGGTGTGTGTCAGTGGGGGCCTCTCGGCTGGAGCTCTCTGTCAGGTGTCATCTGCCAGTTCAGGAGCTATGATGCAGGTCCCCAGGGGGATCCGAGGCTGCACTGCAAGCAGGTACAGCCAGGCTGGGGCCTTGGCAGAGGCAAGCTGACTGAGGGGTGCTCAGGTCAGACTGGTCCATCTCATGGGCAAGATCTCCTTGCAGAGTTCAGGTCTGACAATTCCCCTAGGACTAAAGTGTCCTACAAGAGCAAGTCAAGCTTGGGAAATGAGTATCTTGGAGGTCCTCCACTCCAGATGCTTTGCACCAAACCCTCTGGGCTCTGCACTGGCTGAAGTTCTGCCCCTACCACTTTTCTAAGCAGCTCTTCCTGCCACCTCACGTGTCCTTTGTGGTCATGAGGTCTCCTTCTGCCAGGATTCCTTAGGCACATGGCGAGAGCAGGTTGCGCCTTTCCTGTTCAACACACCCCTTCCTCAGGAGTCACTTGGAGCCAGGAGTGAGTCCTGGTGCAGGGTAGCCCCATTCAGAGTTACCAGCTTCCTTCTCCTTCAGCCCAGCATCCGTATCTCCCCTCCATCTACTCTCAATGCCTTCCTTCTGAAGATCTGCTAGGAGTGCACTGGTCTTCCTGATGTCCTGGTCCTTTGGTAGCAGATGATCTTTCTGGCTGCATCTAGTTGACCATATTGCTGCCTCCCTCAGCATAATTCTTAGGAACCTAGGTTTTTCAGAATGGTGGATGAGCACCGGCTTCAACTTAAAATTACCAGCTTCACTAGTCCCTAACAAGAGAGTCAGTCTGTCTTTTGAAGCTTTGAAGTCAGGCATTGACTCCTCTCTAAATATGAAAGCCTTAGATGGCATATTTTTCCAATAGACGGCTGTTTCATCTGCATCAACATTTTGTTGTTTAGTGTAGCCACCTTCATTATCTTAGATCTTAGCTTAGCTTTCTGTATAACTTGCTGCAGCTTCTGTATCAGCACTTGCTGCTTCACCTTGCACCTTTTTGTTATGGAGGCAGTTTCTTTCCATAAACCTCATGAACCAACTTCTGCTGGCTTCAACCTTTTCTTCTACAGCTTTGTCACCTCTCTAAACCTTCACAGAATTGATGATAGGAAGGGCCTTCCTCTGGACTAGGCTTTGGATTAAGGGAATATTGTGGTTGGTTTGATCTTCTATCCTGACCACCCAAACTCTCCCAACATCAGCATTGTTTGTTTCACTTTTTAAAATTATTTGTGTGCTTACTGGAGTAGCATTTTTAATTTCCTTGAAGAACTTTTCCTTTGCATTCACAGCTTGGCTAACTGTTTGGCACACGAGGCCCAGGTTTCAGTCTATTTTGGCTTTTGATATGCCTTTCTCATTAGGCTTAATCATTTCTGGTTTTTGATTTAAAGTGAGATACATGTGATTGTTCATTTTCCTTGAACACTTAGAAGGCAATGGAGGGTTATTAATTGTCCTAATTCAATACTGTTGTGTCTCATTGAATAGAGATGTCCAAGGAGAGGGAGACAGATGGGGGAACAGCCAATCAGTGAAGCAGTCAGAACACACAATATTTACCAATTCAATTTACTGTCTTATATAAGCGCAGTCTGTGGCACTTCAAAACAATTACAATAAGTATATAAAAAATCACTGATCACAGATCACCATATCAGATATAATAATAATGTAAAAGTTTAAAATATTGTGAGAATTAGAAAAATGTGACAGAGACACGAAGTGAGCACATACTGTTGAAATAGTAGTGTCGCTGTAATTGCTAAATATAGGTAGGGTTGCCACACACCTTCAATTTGTAAAAATCACAATATCTGGAAAGCATAATAAATAAAAATGCAATAAAATGAACCTTGCCTGTATTAAAATGGTATAATGCCCCTAACATTGCTTACATGGCAAACATTTGTTGCAGTTACAAAGAACTGGGGTTCTCATTTAAGTTTTCTTGTATTTTACCTAATTGAAATTCTTCCCATATTCTGAAACTAGTTCAGCTGCCAGTCTTACTTCTTGATGTTTTTATGAGATTTTTCTTTTCTTTTTGGGGTCATGATAGCTATTTTAATTATAAATTAGAAGAAATCAAATTGCTAGCATATTATTTCATTTTAACTTTTTCTCCACTCCTTATTTCCACATACAAAAATGGAATTTCTACTCTAGTCTCCAGGAAAATAAAATTGTGGGAAGAGCATTTCAAGTTCCTCTCCATCCTCTCCCCATGTCTGTCCTGGGGCTGCAGCAAGGTGTGGAGTATGTGGAAGAAGTGACTTACTTTATACATAAACTGGATACTTGAGCATGCTCAAATTACCCTGCACCTCTTTGGCCTCTTTTTATGCCTTGCCTCACAGAGCTTACTCTGAACTATTTCTCATTATGCAGTAAGTTTATCAGATAAGTTCTATTCCTGAAATGAGATAGCTTAGATGTATGGAGTCTAATCCAACTTAGGGGTGGTGTATTATTAAAGTCAATGATTACATGTCCAAGCGTTGTTTTCTTATTCATCTTTCCTGGAGTTGTCCACTTCTGTTGTCACAACAAATCTAAGATATACTGCAATAGAGCTTTTACCCAATAATACAATTTATACTCTGTGTGTCTGTATGTGCATCTCTCTCAATTCTGAACTTAGGAGAGAAGAGAAAATTTCCATCTATTGGCCTTCTAAACTCCATATGTTGGTAATAGTCTTGCAAAAATCACAGAAATAGAAGAAGGCTGCCATGTGGGGAGCTAATTCATATGTTCAAAAGACCAAGATTTCTGGGGTGGCCAGCTAGAGGGGGTTAAGTTTTGAAGCATTGGTGAGGAACTATAAAATATTTTTCTCTAGGCTCTTTGAATGGGCATAAGTGCAGTGGGAGATATTTATGCACAAATAGCACAAGTGTACTCACATTGTGACAATCCATCAAGATATACACTCAACATCCACGCACCTTTCCTTATGTATTTCATATTTCAATAAAAAGTTTACCAAAAATTAATAAAAGATGCATAGTGTAGGATTTGTAAAAAAAGTATCAACAATGTTACTTTTTAAAAGAAAGCCTGGGATCAAGAAGTAAGACTTCATTTTTAATTTTAAAAGTGTTTAGATTTTGAATTTTTCTCACATACTTACAAGTTTAAATTACTTTAAAGTTTTAAAGGAAGGCATACTAGAGACAGAAACACTGCACAAGAGTCTGTTCTTCTACTTTAGCAAACACTACTCAATCCCGAAACATAAGTGGGAAGACTCTGCTGATTTTGAAGCATCCAAATGTTAACAGACAAGACAACTGGAAAAATGCTTTCAGGGCTTTTCAGAGACCTTAGTGGCAGCCTCTCCTGTCAAAGGCCTGGAGACCTAGGAGGAAATAATGGTTTCATGGGCCAGGCCTAAGGCTCCGCTGCTCTGTGAAGCCTCAGGACATGGTACTTTGTGTCTCAGCTACTCCATCTCCAGCTGTGGCTAAAAGGGGCCAAGGTACAGCTCAGGTTGTTGCTTCAGAGGGTGTAACCCCAAGCTTTGGCAGCTTCTGCATAGTGTTGGGCCTGTGGGTGTGCAGAAGGCAAGAGCTGAGGTTTGAGAGCTTCCACCTAGATTTCAAAGGATGTATAAAAATGCCTGAATGTCCAGGCAGAAGTCTGCTGCATGGGCAGAGCCTTCATGGAGAACCTCTGCTAGGGCAGTGCAGAGGGGAAATGTGGAGTTGGAGCCCCCACACAGAGTCCCCACTGGGGCACTGCCTAGTGGAGCTGTGAGAAGAGGGCCACTGTCCTCCAGACCCCAGTATGGTAGATCCACTGACAGCTTGCACCATGCACATAGGAAAGCTGCAGGCACACAATACCAGCTCATGAAAGCAGCCACAGGGGTGGAGCTGCCCAAGGCCTTGGGATCCACCCATTACATCAGTGTGTCCTGGATGTGAGACATGGAGTCAAAGGAGGTTATTTTGGAGCTTTAGGATTTAATGACTACCCTGCTGGGTTTCGGACTTGCATGGGCTTGCCCTTTGTTTTGGTTGAATTTTCCCTCTTGTAATGGAACGGTTTACCCAATGTCTATACACATATTGTAGCTTGGAAGTAACTGACTTGTTTTTCTATTTTACAGGCTGATAGGTGAAAGGGACTTGTCTTGTCTCAGGTAAGACTTTGGACTTGGACTTTTGAGTTAATGCTGGAATGAATTAAAACTTGGGAGACTATTGATAAGGCATGATTGTGTTTTGAAATGTGAGAAGAATATGAGATTTGGGAGGTGCCAGGGGTGGAATGATATGGTTTGGCTCTGTGTTCCCACCAAAACCTCAGGTCAAATTCTAACCACCACATGTTAAAGGAGGAGCCTGGTGTGAGGTGGTTGAATCATGGGGGCAGACGTCCCCCTTGCTATTCTTGTGATGGTGTTCTCATGAGATCCGGTTGTTTAAAAGTGTGTAGCACCTTCCCCCTGCCCCCCTGTCTTCTCATTATCTCTCTCTCCTGTTCTGCCGTGGTAATACATGCTTGCTTCTCCTTCACCTTCCATCATGATGGTAAGTTTCCTGAGGCTTCTATAGCCATCTTCCTGCACAACCTGTGGAACCATGAGCTAATTAAACCTCTGTACTTTATAAATCACCTAGTCTCAGATAGTTCTTTATAGCAATGTGAGAACAGATTAATACAAGCACTTTGGTGGGTTTTGCCCAATTTTGAATATCCATGATGGTTGGGGAAAATTGAATTCCTATCTAGCCCCAAGGGGTGTTTCCTGATTGGTCTCTATGTCTATTATGACAGTTCTTTTGCTTGCTAGCTGCTCAGCAATGTGTTGCAATTCTGATCAATGTGGTATAAAGAACACATACTTAAGGACTTATGGGAAAATTATAATCAACTCTACCTTAAAAAGGGTTTCAAGACAGGAACATTTCTTTTTATAGATATTTTAACTTGAATGCAGTATCTGTAACTGATATTGCTATGTTACAGCAACAAGCTGAGATTACTAGAGAAGGAAGATGGATCTTAGATAATACCATTAAGTCACTGACTGAACCCTGAAACGACCTACTATTTAGAGTTTTGTTACATGATGTGATATAGTAAATAGTCCATTTATTATTACTTATAGTCAAGATTCTCTTATGAGTTACAATGTATGTGCTATATCACAGATGTAACTTACAAGAAATGATTCATTAAGCTAAGAAGATGGGCCATATAAATAGAAAGATATTTATATATCATGTCAATGTGGAAAAGTAAATGGGTGAGAATGTTTAGGAAAACATGAGAAAAGAATAATGAACATGTATTACTGCAGCCACATACTACAATAAAGAATTATACAGACTATAGTCCAATAATAGAGCTATGTGTATACAGGAATTCACTATATTATAAAAGTTTTATATCAAATAATAGGGGAAAAGATACATTAATTAATAAATGGGTTGGAACAACAAGCTTATTTCCTTCCTCACTCTTTACACCAAACAAATCTAGAGGAGTCAAACACTATAAAAACAGCAGTGGTAGAAAAGGAGGAGAAGGAGAAAGTGAAGAAGAAACAATACAGGTACTGAAAAAATGGATAGTCTGCCTCCAAAAACTGTCATCTTGGAGTTGGGGAGTTCTTTCTGAGCACTGTTAGAAAATGCAATATTGGTTAATATTAGTTTAATATTGAAAACCCATCAATGGAATTTCTATGTTAAGAGAAATCATAGAAGAAAAAATTTTTAGTATCATCTCAATAAATACAGAAAAAGCATTTGATAAATTTAAAAATCAATCAAGATTTTTATAAAGTTTTATCAATTAGAAATAAAGCAAAGAAGTCTTTGTTTAATCTGAAAAACAGTAGCTACTGAAAACCTACATAAACATCATACTTAATGGTGAAGTATTGAAAGCTTTCCCTTTGAGGAAAAGACAAGGCAAAGATATTCACTCTCACCACTTCCATTCAACATTGTACCAAAGGCCTTGATGGTAAAACAAAAATAAATAAATAAATGTTGTAAGGATTTCATAGAAAAAATATTTACTATTTTTCAATAATATAACTATTTATATCAAAATAAAGAACAATCTATAGATAAATTATGAAATTTAATAATAAAAATTTAAGTGAATTTCTCAAGATTAATTAATATTCATATATTATTTATTAATATTTATATAGTATAGCTTATACCATATAAGAATGAATTACATTTCTGGCCAGGCACGGTGGCACATGCCTGTAATCCCAGCACTTTGGGAGGCCGAGGCAGGTGGATCATGAGGTCAGGAGTTTGAGACCAGCCTGACTAACATGGTGAGATCCCATCTCTACTAAAAATACAAAAATTAGCTGGGCGTAGTGGCACGGGCCTGTAATCCCAGCTACTCAGGAGGCTGAGGCAGGAGAATTGCTTGAACCAGGGAGGCGGAGGTTGCAGTGAGCCAATATAGCGCCACCGCACTGCAGCCTGGTGACAGAGCGAGACTCCATCTCAAAAAATAATAAACAACAACAAAAAGAAGTAATTACATTTCTATGAACAAGTAACATACAACCAGGAAATAAAATTTTAAAAATTTGCAGTACAATAATTATTTTTGCAAAAAGTATAAAATATGACTAAATGTAACAAAATGTTTGCAAGAATTCTATGGAGGAAACTATAATATAGAGATAATTTAAGACATAAATAAGTAGGGGGACATACCCCATTAATGAATTAGAAGACTCGTTCTAAAGATGTTAGCTCTCTTCAAATTGATCTGCTGGTGTGATGTGATCCAAAAGTGTATACATTTTCTAATAAAACCTGAAAATATGTTTCTAAAATGTATATGGAAATATAAAGGGCCAAAAAAGTCAAGACATTGTACATGTACAACAGTAAACATATATATGAATGTTCATGGCACTATCAATATAGTAACAAATATATGAAAACAACCTAATAATGGCTAAATCAAGTATGGTATAGTAACACAATTGAACAGTATGAAAAAAGGAAGTGAATGATCTCCATTAATCAACATGGATGCCTCATAATGTTGAGCAAAATGTATTAGACACAAAATACTATCTGATTTATTTAAATAAAAATGTTTAAGGCAGGTATAAAGGTATAATTAATGGTGGCAATGTACATTTAAGCATCAAAGCAATGAGGGGGAAAAAACAACTATTATTACCAACATCCGACTGAGGTTGGGCATTACAGGAGAGGGAGAGATGGAATATTGGTTGGGATAGGGTACAAGAGAGCTTCCTGGTGCTGTTAACAGACATTGGTGGTCAGTTTGGGACAAATTGTTGAGTTTTCCATTTCTATATCCTGTATTTTTCTGTATATATGTTATGCATTTCATGATAAAAAGAGGTTAATTTTACTGCTTATAAATTTAAAACTTATCAGGAGTAAAACTAAACAAAAAGACAAAGACAAAGGATAAATAAAATGAAAAATATTTCCCACATGTAGTAGGCAAAGGACTTACACATTACCCAAATAAAGGTCTGTTCTTTTTTATTTGGATTATTATTTCCCTGGCACTTTGAAAACCTTGGTGCTTCATGCTACTGTTCTGGTAATTTTGGAACCAGCATATTAGAGTTCTGACGGTTTTCACAGCTAGCATTTTAATAAATAAAGTACAGTGAAATGTGCAAAAAGGTTAGAGTCAGTGTCCTCTTGTCTTTGACAAGGGAGACATATCTGCCTGTATTTTCCCTAAAGTTTTTTTCAAAGAGACTATTTAAGGAGGTCACCCATAAGAAATAAATTAATGTTTGTGTGTAGAAAACACTGAATTAGGATTTAGCAACAGTTTAGAGGAATGGGCTCTGCAAGAAAGGCTGTGCCAGGCATATGGGAAATGGGGCTTAGTAAAATGAAAGTGATTGTGAATAGAGGAAAGAGCTTCTCTACAGGGCCACTCTCATTTTCTCCCTCCATATCACCCCTGTTTTCATTTGTTTGGCCAATGAAGACACCTTTCCAAACCGGTATTTGTGTGTGGAGAGGAACCGAGACCAGGGTCAAAAGATGCAACCTGGAAGCTCTGAGGGTAAAGAAAGGAATATTTCGAGGGCAGAATTAGGGAAGGAAGTGTACCTCTAGGTGGGAGACCAAACCTCATGGGTAAGAGATATAAAACTACCAGACAGAGACATAAATATGAGGAAGGGCCTGTGTCCAAATCATTCCAGTAACAATATATTTTTAGACTAGAAAGTCATTGTGAGGTAGATTGGGACACCGTGTATGCAAATATAAGGTCAATATTTTACAACAACTGTTTGTTAAGTTATGCACAAAAAAACTGACTGGTGAATGTTAGCCCCGCTAAGCCCATGGAAATTATCGAGACTCTCCTATCAAGGGTAAGGCAGAGAAAAATATGGCCACAACATTTTGATATCATAATCAAAGTGTTTTATTTAAATGCAATATTAAATAAGATGATTATTTAATAAGGTGATTAAATTGTCATTGAACATAAAATTCCCATATTAAGTAAATATTTAAATTTATTTATTTTAGATTTTATTTCCTCCTTCTGATTGAAATTCCTGGAACTGTAGGTTAGATCTTTGCTAGAAATTGTGCCTTCATGAAAAAAACATGTGCCCTAAGAGAATTACTTAATAAATGAATAAAATTAATGATTTAATATTCAGTAGCCTAACCAATAATCTGGAACAGAGAAATTCACATTTTAAGCCATATCCAGCAAGAAGAATGTCCGTATTCAGCATAATATACGAGCTAGAAAAACAGTTATATTGACTTTGATAGTAATTCTGTGGTTGATGCTTAAAATATTTTCATCAGTAACTCTGTGAAGACACAGCTTGAGATCAGGCAAGTTTGTGAACTTGACTCATGTGAAGGTTATAATTAAAAATACAATTGGGAAGGGTTAGCAAGATGTTAAAATGTCTTATAGACAGTTTGACAAAGCCATGGTCAGAAAAAATCCTTAAAGATCAGAGGTGGGAGTAATAAAACCTAAAGAGGAGATAGTAAAATAATTTTTAGGAAGATTAATTCTAGTTTACTGTATATTTCTACCTCAAGTAATTTAATCTGAAGATTATTTTCTTCTATGTACAAAATGACATATACAAGAATGTTTATTATCACATTGTTTTTAACAGTGGAAGATTGAGGGCAGCCAAAATATCCATCAGTAGAAGAGATAAAAGATGTCCAAATCCAAATTAAAGACATTAATATGCATTAGGTGGATCTGTACATACTGACATGGAAAAATGAGTGAGATATGTTGCACGAAAAAATTGCAGAACATTTTGGATTTGTATAGAAAGGTTTGGAGGCTTTTTCAGCAAGCTATTTGTAATAATCTGGAAGGTGAAGTCACCAGGGAGTTCCACTATCTACATTTATGAACACAGGTGCAGAAAAACTAAGCAATATATTTAAAAAATCAAATCCATATTGTTTAGTTTTTCAGCATCTGTGTTCATGAGTGAGTTTGGGAGGTAATTATCATTTCATAGTGTCCCTGTCAGATTTTGACATTGGGTTATGTTGGCTTTGTAGAACTTTGGAAATCTTGCTCACTTTCTGGTGGAATTTATATAATATTGGTGTCATTTAATTTGTTCCTTATTTATTTGGAAAGAAATTACTGGTGAAGCCAATTGAACTCAGAATTTGCTTTGAGAGTAGGTTTTGAATTACAGACACATTTATTAGATATAGAAACAATTGACTTTCCCTTTATTCTTATTCATTTTTGTTAAATTATGTCAATTAAGTTATTATCATAATATTGCTTATATCTTTCTATAATCACTTAATATCAATAAAATCTGTAGTAATATCTTCTTTTTAATCTTTATACTTATTATTTGTGCCTCCTCTCTTTGATTAATTTTTTTTGTTTTTTGTTTTTTGAGACGGAGTCTCACTCTGTCGCCAGGCTGAAGTGCAGTGGCGTGATTTCAGCTCACTGCAATCTCCGCCTCTCGGTTTCAAGCGATTCTCCATCCTCAGTCTCCTGAGTAGCTGGGACTAAAGGTGTGCACCACCACGCCCAGCTAATTTTTGTATTTTTAGTAGAGACAGGGTTTTACCATGTTGGCCAGGATGGTCTTGATCTCTTGACCTCATGATCCGCCCACATCGGCCTCCCAAAGTGCTGGGATTCCAGGTGTGAGCCACCACGCTGGGCCTAATGTTGTTTTTAAAAGAACCAACTTTGGTTTTGTTGATTTCATTTTATAATTGTTTCTTATTTATCGGATTTCTGCATGTATCATTATTTTTTCTTCTAATTCTTTGGGTTAATTTCCTGTCCTCATCTAAATATATAGATTGTTAATTTTCAGTCTTATTTTCTAATATTTATACTTGAGTCTATGAATTTTTATTTATTAATGTCTTTAGTTGCATGCCACATATTTTTATATGCCAACTATGTTACCATTTATTTCACAGCAACTTAAAATATCCATTGTCATTCTTGTTTGATACAATTTAGTTATAACTATACAGTTTAATATCAAATATTAAGGAATTTTTCTGTTTATCTTTTTGATACTGATTTTTTATTTAATTCTACTCTCTGCAATAAACATCATCCCTTTAAATTGTGTCAAAGCTTGTTTCATGGTCTGTAATATGGTTAATATTGATAACTTTCCAAGTACACTAGAAAAGAGTATATATTGTAACTACGGAACAGTGTTGTATATGTCAACTAGGTCAAGTTCATGAATGTTGTTCTTCAATCCCAAAGAAACTCCAGCAAGTTTTGTTTATTTATTCATAAAAATTTGACTCTAAAGGGAGAGAAACAGAAAAGATTTGGTCAATCTCAATGTATTTTATTACCCACAGGACCTTGGCCTCACAAGTTCTCACTTCTTTTATTGCTTTCTGATGCTTTTACATAGCTGTTCTTTTCTATTTTGCTTAGCTTTTATAGCTATGCTCAATGGTAGAGTTGTTTTGAAATAAGTTACTCTGTCAAAAATGAAAATGGAACTCTCCCATCACCACATTTTCCCTGTTGACATTACTATTCCAAGTAGAATGAGTACATTTTCTTAAAATATCACACAAATAATCTATTTCTGGGGTGAAAATATTTTTTCATGTTGCTCGAATTTATTATATAGTTATTTAAACAGTGTGTTTCTAGAAAACAGAATGGATAACAGAATATAAATCAAAACTCTTTCAAAAGTGTATCAATTATATGTAGGAAATGGCAGCATTTATCTAAAATCATCATGCTTCATAAGAGCTTGCCCAACTGTAGATAGAGTAAATCACTTTTCTTTTGGAGACACGTTGCTCAGATCTGAGCCAAAGTTAAGCAAACTTCAGAGAACATAGAAATCTACCCATACCTGTAGCAAAAGGTTTTCTGCCTTAAGCCAAATTGATAAATGTATGTTGCACATGTATATGGTGATTGATTGTAAATTTCTGTGTTTGTATTAACATGCCTGTGTAACATGACTATGGGTATATATATTTATGTTCATATAATTTCTTTAACGGGTATATATGGCTGGCTTATCTTTAAATATCTAGGAAGAGTTATGTATATTTGTGGCTAGGCATGCGGGATGCTAGGCCTATGAGTACATGAGTGTACACCTGGCATGGCCCAACATGTGTCTGAAAGCTGCTGTGTCCAAATGGAGGGGTTCAGGGACCTGGAGAGAAGGTATCCCAGGGTAGGGATACGGAACAAAGAAGGTAGTCACTTGATAGTGTAAATACTGGACCTTAGTATGTTTTTGGCACTTTATGCCCAATACACTGACCTTTCACCTGATCCCTTATGTTTATTATTTATATCCTTTCTCCTAAAAGGTCTTCTGCTAAAGTACACTGAAAACAATCCAATTTCTGTGGGCTAAGAAACTCCGAATGAGGCCTTGATTCCTGCTAAATTTCTAAACGCCTGTCTTTTTTCTACCCCTAGATGTGGAGCTCCATCTTTTGTTTTCAGCAAAAAGCTTTCCATGAACCACAATGCTTGCACCTATCTGGCCGTAAGTGTGGCCCCTTCCCATATGCTCTTGCTGCATTTATGAATTACATCAGGTTGAATACACTAGGGAATTTTATGATACTTTGAATACTAGTTTCAGCAACCACACTACATATTTCCTTCTTATTCACCTTCCAACCATCACAGTCTCAAAATAGCTTCCTAATATTACAGACCCAGAGGAGCTTGTAGTTCAGTACATCTACACAAGGCATAATAGGAATGCTCATTCACAAAACTCATTATGAAAGCGTCCATAATGCAATGCTCATTCACGATTTCTAGGGCCAGCAAAACACTTCCATATACTAAGACTAAATACAATAACAGGTTGGATAAATTGAACTATATGAGAGTAGAAAAGGTAGGAGATGATTTTAAATACTTACTATAATAATTAATTCTACATTTACTGCCCAACTTAATTGATATTACAGAAGAAATTCAAAAGGACATTCGAATATTCTCTCTAGAATTCGAATGAAAAAGAAACATTATTATAATTTTCTAAAAGTTGGAGAATCCCAGGAAACAATTTATAGCAGGAGATTCTGAAAGTGCCCAAATCTTGTATGGAATAAATACGATTACAAAGGAGACATTGTGGGTTCATCGAAAACAAGTCACACTGAAATAACTTTATGTCCTTTTTATGGAGTATCAGTACATTAGTATTCTAAGTGAAAGTTGTTGGCATTATTTCTTGATTGCAATAAGACATATGAGATGTACCTAACAGAATCATTTGGAGAAAATGTAGACATGAGCTAAGAATAATTAGGTAGATTTACAGCTGGTTAAATCTCCATATCCAAAGAGTATTTTTAACCAATCAGAGTTAACCTGAATCAGCTATCTTGGCAAGTAGCTATAGATCCTATTGAATTGGCAGCCTTTAGGGGGGAGTCTTGTTGCTTCCAACCTTCCCTCTGGTTCCACCTTGTGGCTACTTTTCCACTGATCATTTGCCATAGCACTTATCTTGCTTTGTGCGTATGTTGAACATCAGTTATTTAACAGAGTTGTGATTATATAACTTGGTGTGGTGCTGCTGAGCTACTTCCTGGTGCATCTGAGAATGAAAATGAATAGAACAAGTCTGTCTTCAGGACATGGATCATGGTCCAGGTCTGTAGGTATAAGTGTTAAATGAGTCCACTAAAGAGAATCAGAATAGGGAATCACTATGTTACATGCCACGCAGTTCCCATAAAATATTATTGTTTCTTCTCTGAGGCATAGCTTTTCCTGGATCACGCATTTGTTCTTATTCCCCTGATATTATTGTCCTCTTCTTTTTTCTTTTATTGCCTGCAGATTTACCTCTGTTGTTATACAGTAACACTAGCACAAATATTAGACACACTGTGTTAGTTCAGAGTTTTGTGGATTCTAAGCACATATTTATTTTATTTAAATAGACAGGCAGGTTGGGAATATCTCCTGGAAGCTGATGACACTAAGGCTCAGGAACGTGAGGAGTACTAATAAAGCTGTCACAGCTGGGGCTTTTTTGTGAAGTTTGAGCTCCAGATCAGTCTTTTTGAAGAATTATCTAGTTTGCTACCTCCTTCATTATACTGCTGAGCAGAAAATTCTCACTGTCTCCAGAAATCTAAAAGCAGAGAACACCTTGCATGCTTTCACCCTCTTGTCTAGCCATGATTCCAACACATGAATTTTCGCCAGCCTAGTCATGAGAACAAACGTGACTCATACCTCATGGGTCATCAGAACAAATTTCTCAAAGCACAGACACACTGGGTCTCAATTTGAACTGGAATACAGTGTCTTTTCCCCCAGAAGCTTCTCTAGTAACCACAGCAAAAACAATCTGAACCCCAACAATATGTACTGGATGGAGGTCGACCACATAAAGTGATCTTTGCACTTTTACTTGGCAACATCCTTTTTTTTTTTTTAACCTGCTAACAGCACCGTGCCATAGTCTATCAGGAATGAAGAAAATTTCCAGTGATCCTCCAATACACAATTATCAGCAGTTTTCATCATGACCGTCATCATAAAGAATATTTACTGAACAATAACCACAGCCTGTAACTATGTACCATGTACAATGTTAAGTGCTATACACTCATGATCTCAGTTAACCCTACACAACCCTGAGAGGCAGGAATTAACAACATTTAGTCTGTGAATAAACTGAAACCTAAGGAGGCTGCGAGCCCGACATCGCAGAAATAGTCAATTGTAGAGCTGGGATTTGAAACTGTGTCTGTCTCATGCATATAGCACCCAACACAACACTACTCATAGATCCCGACTCATGCAGCAGCAGCAACAATAAAATGTACTCTTCCTCGTATTTCTTCCCTCCACTCCTGTTGTGTAACAGATTTAAGCTGGATATGAATTATTGAACCAAATGATCTCTTTGTCTTAAAAACTTTTAGATTCTACAAACCAAATCTGCAGACTTTCCCCGTACCAGCCCAGAAAGTAGCAGAAATTAGGTATAAAGAGTAAGTCAGACCCCACACTTCCAGTGATGAGAAACATTCCAGAGCTGCAACAGAGAGGGTCTTGCTTTTATTTTGAAAGAAACTTTATGCCACACAATAAACAATGGAAACATCCCATGATAGTATTTGCCAACATGGCTCAGCACACTTTAGCAGAGAATAAACAAACACTGGACATGACGAAAGGAAATTGGGAAGAGGTCAAGTGCTATGCTCTCCCTGTACATTGATTCACTGCTCCAGGCTTTGGATGATTTGCTGTAAATTCATTTTTTCACACCATGGTTTCCTGAGGTTTGGATTGTGTGCTAGCTGTGTGGCTTGTAATTTAAGGACCATTCAGTCATTAAGTTCTTTTGAAAAAAATGCCTTCTTATGAAGCAAACAAATATAGAGCTAATAATATTAAAATAAAAAGAATTGAATAATATCTTATTTAATAGATTGTATTATAATAGATAATGCCCAATAGAAGCATGTGGGATAGTGGATTTCTCTAATGTTACATGAATATGTGCAGGTACTACATGCAAATCAGAAAATCCTGAAAATATGACAAATAATGGCACTCACAATCTTGATCATTGTACATTTTGACACCCAAGGCTTTAATGAGGCAACAGTGAAGTCATCATTTGATGAATGCTGAAGGTTTTTAGATTTCCTCGAGGTTATAGAAACAAAATTTGGATGGCTATTTCTATGTTAAGTGACAGTGCAAAAATACCTCAGGCCTCTGACTAGTTTTGTTGCTCTCCAATGCTTGTTTCACAAAAATTGCTGATGACATGGCATTAACAAGTTTTATTTTTGCTGTCAGTTATTTTATTTGCCTATCCAGATGCAATTATAAACTAAAAAGACAAAATTATGCACTATATATCATGTCAAAAATAACCATTACTTTTCCTAAAATATTACTGAAGTAATTCTCAAATAATTCTTTATTGGTTCTTTTGAATTTTAATAAGTGAAGTAAATCTTACTGACTAAAATTCAGGGTACGTAATAACTAATTGATAAGCACTTAAATTAGTGGCTGGAAGGTAAGTAAAATTATTATTTCCAAAGTGGATCCACAGTTCATTAACCGCAATTGTCATTTTCTACTATGTGATGGAAGAAAGTCACTTTACTTAAGATTAAATTAACATCTGATGTTACACAAATGTTCCATCAACTTTCTTAATGGCTTATTTCAAAAATCATGTATTAGAGAAACCAGAAAAAGTTATATCTTTCAGTTTAAACTCAATGTACAGAATCAATGTGTCCCTCTCTTCACTTCCAACAATGTAATGAATTTTAATAGCCACTTCTATCTACCCTGTTGCCAGGTCAGGCAGCAGCATTATTCCATGTTTGTCAATTAAGACGTAACACTAAATGGAGATTATATGTCTAAACATGCTCCAACTAGTGACAGACCTTTGATCTAGAACTCTGAGTCATGGGCCACTATTTCCTCTGATGAAAACTAGGCTGTTCTATTTTCAGCTCCAGGTGATAAGATACTGCTTGTCCTGTTACCTCAAGCCAAAGATTTGACACAATGTAGCAGCAAGGTGCTTATGACACTAAATGTTTCCTCATGAGCCATATGGAGATAAAAACATTTTTTCTCCCTGTGCACAGGGTCTACATAGTCTTCAGAGATATTGACACCCTTGATTTAATCAGATGGTTAAAGAGAGTTATAATGGAATCAGATACAGAAGAGTCTTGGGCTCCAGTTTATCTAACACTTAGTTTCTATATAAGCTCCTAAAGAGGAAGTACTCTTGCCATATTTGTCTTTCCTATCTCCTGGTGCAGGTCAGACTCAGGCAGGCATTTAGTATATTATTGCTGACTTGTTTCACTGTCTTGACTCCTGGACAGCCTGGTGCCTCAAAATAGAAGATATCTGAGGTCATGACTGCTATATATGCTGAGACTGCCTTCTAGTTGCCGGATATAATCAGAAATGATACGGATAATGAAGGTAGAGATGTATGTGTGTGCTTTTGTGTGTGTGTGTGTGTGTGTGTGTGTGTGTGTGAGAGAGAGAGAGAGAGAGAAAGAGAGAGACAGAGACAGAGATACCGTTCCCATCTGTGTTTTAGGAGTGCATGCCAATTTCAAAACTGTATGAAAAGCAAGTCTAAAAGCATTTTATTTATTCCATTTATTAATTAAATTCCCCTCATCTTGGGATAGGCCAAACTGCTGTAATAGATAAATCAATATTTCACAATAAATGTGTAAAATATGAATGCAAGACAATAAAAATGCATTTAGTTATCTAGTAATTACAGTATTTTGGAACATAAAAAGACCTCGACCATCATTTATTCCAATTCCTTTATTTTATGAATGAAAAAGCTAAGGCTCAAAGAAGAGAAATAACTTCCTCAAAGTGAAACAGCGAGCAAGGACCAAGAACTATTGACTTCTAGTTCAGTGATTCTTGCACCTCACTAGGCTGCCTTACATGCTAGTAGGTCACTTTCCCATTTCCAACCTCATGATGGGCATCAGTGAACTCACCAGACCAAGAATAACAGAGAAACTCTTTTTTTGCCCTTTATGTTGTATCTGTAGAGAATTTTCTCCAAGCCCTGTGATTTAGCAAGATACTTCTAACCCAGTTAGTTTTAATCATTTTTTTGCATTTTATAATAGGCTTTTATTATCATTTAATTAATTTTCAAATTCAATTTTCAGATATTTCACTGGATGGTTGGTCATTCTCTCTTAATTATATCCACATTAGAGTAATCTGTCTTTGATACAGATTGTTAAAAGTGTTCCTTTTTTCTGGAAAACCATCCAGGATAATTTATACTCATCAAAACAGAGTACTTGCTTTTGGGTAATAGTGTAGGCAACATTTGAGATCATGTTTATCAAAATACAAAGCAAAGCTGCATTTTAAAGGACCTGGCTTTGTGTCTGGAAATAATAGTTGCTCAAAACAAATGAAGCTATTATTTTGAATAATAATACTATCACTAGTTTCGAATTACAGTCCTTAAATTTTCCTATTCCACATCCTTCTCATAGATAATTTCTATTGTTTCTATTTTTGTATGTATCATCCACTAGTCACTGGTGATCGTTACCTTGTGCTTAGGAAATTAGGAAACCAGCACAATAAAATAATAAAGTCACATCTATCTACCATGAAAAATAGATGTGAAACAACTCCTCATAAATTTACATAGTCAAGAGTGGCAGCCATGTCTGTTTGTTCATTTCCATTATAGGATGTTTCAGGTTTTCATAATGTTATCAACTGACAAACTATTTCCTCCAACATCTTATTGTTTCTAAAGTAAAATTGATTTCCTTGGTTTAATGTCGTTTTCCTTCTGTAAGTGAAAATTATTTTCTAACAAGAGACAATAGTTTTCTTTGAATCATCAGCAAATATGGTGATGAATATGTTAATAATATACTGTAAGCATCAGTAAAGTATTGAGTTCAAGATGAGTAAAATAGTACACTTGAGGGTCACAGTCTAGGATCTATATTGTGCATTTTCTAAAAATACTTGCTTAATATTTCTTTCTTTCTTTCTTTTTTTTGAGACCAAGTCTCACTCTGTCATCCAGGCTGGAGTGCAATGGCGTGATCTTGGCTCACTGCAACCTCTGCCTCCTGGGTTCAAGTGATTCTCTTGCCTCAGCCTCCCAAGTAGCTGAGATTACAAGTGTGCACCACCACACCTGGCTAATTTTTGTATTTCTAGTAGAGAGGGGGTTTCACCATATTGGCCAGGCTGGCATTGAACTCCTGACCTCAGGTGATCCGCCCGCCTTGGCTTCCCAAAGTGCTGAGAGGCGTGAGCCACCGCACTCAACCAATATTTTAAAAATATTATTGGAGAAGTCAAATTATGTGTAAGAATGCTTTTTGATTCAATTATGGCAGGAACACATGAACTATAAACTCTTTTACATTGAGAAAAGAAACATACTCTGGGTAGTAGAAATAAAACTCCCCTCAACAATTTCCTAGTGAATCACTAATTCTAATGCCAGGATAGATTCAACAAAGCTTATCTAAGATTCCATATTAATATGATATTTCACATTAATCTAATATTTCATATTACTATTATAGCAACCTAAGAGTTTCTCAGTTGCCAAATTATACTTGACTTGTATTGAGCTTTGACAGAACTAAAATCCAGGATGTTTTGTTTGTTGTATTGGTTGGTTGGTTGGTTGGTTGTGGGGTTTTTTTTCACATGAATTTTAAGGTAATTCTTCTTTATTGTACAACTGATTTTTTTTTGATATATCATCAATTTTTCTTTTTTATTTATTTACTTTTTAAGGCGGTGTTTGGTTACATGAATAAGTTCTTTAGTGGTTATTTCTGAGATTATGGTGCACCCATCACCTAAGCAGTGTACACTGTACCTAATGTGTACTCTTTTATTCCTTGCCACCCTGTGACATTTTCCCCAAATCCCCAAAGTCCAATGTATCATTCTTACACTTTTGCATTCTCATGGCTTAGCTCCCACATATGAGTGAGAACATACGATGTTTGGTTTTCCTTTCTTGAGTTGCTTCACTTAGAATAATAGTCTCCAATTCCATCCAAGTTGCTATGACTGCCATTATTTCTTTCTTTTTTATGGCTGAGTAGTATTCCATTGTATATATATGCCACATTTTCTTTATCCACTTGTTGATTCATGAGCATTTGGGCTGGTTTAATATTTTTGCAATTGCAAATTGTTCTATTATAAAAACACGTATGCAAATATCTTTTTCGTATAATGACTTCTTTTCCTCTGGGTAGATGCCTAGTAGTGGGATTGCTGCATCAAATGGTAGATCTACTTTTAGTTCTTTAAGAAATCTCCACACTGTTTTCCATAGTGGTTGTGCTAGTTTACATTCCCACCAATAGTGTAAAATTGTTCCCTTTTTCACTGCATCCCCACCAACATCTATTTTTGTTTTATTTTTAATAATGGCCATTCTTGTAGGAGTGAGGTGATATCACATTGTGGTTTTGATTTGCATTTCCCTGATAATTAGTTATGTTGAATAGCTATTTCCAAAGAGTGCTAACAGGTACCAGTCTGTGGGTCAGTGAAGAAATTAAGATAAATTGAAAAATTTCTTGAAACAAATGATAAAGGAAACACAACATACCAAAGCCTATGTGGTAGAGCAAAGCCATTAGTCAGAGGGAAGTTTATAGCTATAAGTGACTACATCAAAAAAGAAGAAAAACATCAAATAAACAATCTAATGATGCATCTTTAAAAACTGGAAAAGCAAGAGAAAACCAAATCCAAAATTCATACAGGAAAGGAAATAATAAAGATTACAGCAAAAATAAATGAATTTGAAATGAAGAAAACAATACAAAAGATCAGTGAAAGCAAAAGTTGTGGATTTTTTTTTAATTGACCAATTTCTTGATACATAAAACCTACCAAGATTGAACCAGGGAGAAATCCAAAACCAGAACAGACCAGTAATAACTAACAACATTGAGGCCATAGTAAAGAGTCTCCCAGTAAAGAAAAGTCTCAGACCCAATGGCTTTACTGCTGAATTCTACCAAACATTTTGTTTCTTTTTTTTTTTTTTTTAGTTGGATTTTCGCTCTTTCATCCAGGCTAGAGTGCAGTGGCGGGATCTCGGCTCATTACAACCTCTGCCTTCCGGTTTCAAGTGATTCTCCTGCCTCAGCCTCCTGAGTAGCTGAGATTACAGGCACCCACCACCATGCCAGGCTAATTTTTGTATTTTTAGTAGAGACAGGGTTTCCCCATGTTGGCCAGGATGGTCTCGATCTCCTGACCTTGTGATCCTTCCACCTTGGCCTCCCAAAGCGCTGGGATTACAGGCGTGAGCCACTGCGCCTGGACCTCTACCAAACTTTTAAAGCAGAATTAATGTGAATTCTTCTTACACTATTCTGAAAATTAGAAGAGGAGGAAATACTTCCAAACTCATTCAACAAGGACAGTATTACCTTGATACCAAAACCAGACAAAGACCCGTAAAATATAAAACTACAGGACAATATCTCTAATGAATATTGATACAAAAATCCTCAACCACATACTAGCAGACTGAATTCAACAATATTACAAGAAGATCATTCATCATGACCAAGTGAAATTTATCCCTGGGATGCAAAGATGGTTCGACAACTGAAAATAAAAAATATGATATATCATATCACCAGAATGAAGGACAAAAATCATATGACCATTTCAATTGATGCTGAAAAAGCAGTTAATAAAGTTCAACATCCCTTCATGATTAAAAAAACCTGAAAATGCTGAGTTTAGAGGGAACATACCACAACATAATAAAAGCCATGTACGACAGAACCACAGCTAGTATCATACTGAATGGGGAAAAACTGAAAGCCTTTCCTCTGACATCTAGAACATGCAAAAGATGTTCACTGTCACCACTATTATTTAACATAGAGCAATCAGACAAGAGAGAGAAATAAAGGGCATCAAAATTGGAAAGGAAGAAATCAAATTATTCTTATTTGCAGATGATATGATCTTATGTTTGGAAAAACCTAAAGATGCCACAAAAAACTATTAGAAATGTTAAATAAATTTAGTAAAGTTGCAGTATACAAAATCAACATAGAAAAATCAGTAGCATTTGTATATGCCAACAATGAACAACTTGAAAAAGAAATTTTAAAAAGTAATCTCATTTACAGTAGCCACAAATAAAATTACATACTTTGGAATTAACCAAAGAAGTGAAAGAACTCTATAATAAAAACTATAAAACACTGAAGAAAGAAATTGAAGAGGATACCAAAAAATGGAATGTCGTTCCTTGTTCATAGATTGCAAGAATCAATACTGTTAATATGTATATGCTACCCAAAGCAATCTACAGAGACCATGCAATCCCTATGAAAATACCTATGATATTCTTCACAAAAGTAGAAAAAACAATTCTAAAATATATATGGAACCATAAGAGACCCAGAATAGCCAAAGCTATCCTAAGCAACAAGAATGAAACTGGAAGAATCACATTACCTAACTTTAAATTATACTACATTGTTATAGTAACCCAGACAGCATGGTATTGGCATAAAAACAGACACATAGACCAATGAAATAGAATAGAGAACCCAGAAACAATGCATAAATTTACAGGGAACTAATTTTTTGACAGAGATGCTAAGAACATATATTGGGGAAAAGAGTGTCTTCAATAAATGGTGCTAGGAAAACTGGTTATCCATATGCAAAGGAATGAAACTAGACACCTATCTCTCATCATATACAAACATCAAATCAAAATGGACTAAAATCTTAAATCTAAGACTTCAAACTATGAAACTACTACAAGAAAACATTGATGAAAATCTCCAAGACATAGATCTGGGCAAAAATTTCTTGAGCTGTACCCGACAAGCACAGACAACCATCTCAAAAATGGACAAATGGGATTACAAGTTAAAAAGCTTCTGACCAGCAAAGGAAACAGTAAACAAAGAGAAGAGATAACCCACAGAATGGGAGAAAATATTGGCAAGCTATCCATCTGATCAGCGATTAATAACCAGAATACATAAGGAGCTCAAACAACCCTATAGAGAAAAAATATAATAATCCGGTAAAAAATGGGCAAAATTTTGAATAGAGATTTCTCAATAAAAGACATAGAAATGACAAAGAGGTATATGAAAAGGTGCTCACGATCATTGATCATCAAAGAAATGGAAATCACAACTACAATAAGATATCATCTCACCACTGTTAAAATGGCTTATATTCAAAAGACAGTCAATAACAAGTGCTGGCCAGGTTATGGAGAAAAGGGATCCTTTTTACACTGTTGGTGGGAATGTAAATTAGTACAACCACTATGGAAAACAGTTTGGAGGTTCCTCAAAAAATTGAAAATTGAACTGCCATATGATCAAGCAATCCCCCTGCTGAGTATATACCCAAAAGAAAGGAAATCAGTATACTTAAGAGATATCTGCATTCTCATGTTTGTTGTAGCACTGTTTGCAATAGCCAAGATTTGGATGCAACCTAAGTGTCTGACGACAGATGAATGGATAAAGAAAATGTGGTACATATACACAATGAACTACTATTCAGCCATAAAAACCAATGAGATCCTGTAATTTGCAACAACATGGTTAGAACTGAAGGTCATTATGTTAAGTGAAATAAACCAGGCACAGAAAGAGAAACCACATGTTCTCACTTATCTGTGGGATCTAAAAATAAAAACAATCGAACTCATGGACAGAGTAGAAGAATGATTACCAGATGCTAGAATGAGTAGTGAGGGGTTGCCAGGGAGGTGGAGATGGTTAATGTGTTCAAAATAAATAGTTAGAAAGAATGAATAAGACCTACTATTTGATAGCACAACAGGTGACTATAGTCAATAATAATGGTGCATTTTTAAACAACTAAAGGAGTGTAATTTGATTGTCTGTAACAGAAAGGATAACTGCTGAAGTTATGGATACCCTGTTTTCCATGATGTTATTATTAGTACCTAGTATTTGATAGAACAACGAGGTGACTGTAGTCAAAATAATTTAATTGTACACTTTAAAGCAAGTAAATGAGTATAATTGGATTATTTGTAACACAAAGGTGAAATACTTGAGGGGATACATACTCAATTTCCCATGATGTGATTATTATGCATTGCTTCCCTATATCAAAACATCTAATGTTCCCCACAAATATATACACTTACTATGTACCTACAAAAATTAAACATTAAAAAATTAATACAAGGCTTCGGTTTTCCAAAGTATTTATGTCTTTGATGCAAATCTTTTGTTCCTCCACAGAGGTTAACTCCTGACACAGCACAAGAAAAAGCATAGTTGACATTAGAGCTATTATGCTCTTTTTTAAAAACAAATAGATAGGTCTATAATGTCCTGGCCCTCTCAGAGTTGACTAGTGACCATCAGTAGTTGCTACCACATAAACATTTAGAGACACACACACGCTCATAATCTAACTTACTACGTATATATGTATTTAATAACAGGTTTGTTGATATGTAATTCTCATACCATAAAATTCATTCTGCTATATTGTATAATTCAATGTTTGTTGTATATTCACATAGTTATGCAACCATCAACACAATCTAATTTCAGAACTTCTTCATCACCCGTAAAATAAGCCCATATCCATTAGCAATAATTTGCCATTCACATCTCCCCTCAACCCTAGGAAATTTTGTCATAAAAGGCCACTTACTGAGAATAAAAAATATATAATTTACCTACTTGCTCCAGGAAATAGTTTCTCTGGGAACGTAAGACTGAATCCACTAAAGTAACCCAAAGCTTTTATGTCATAAACTGTGCCCGATATTAAACAGTTCCCTTCTTCACAAGATCAGCCTTAAAATCACCAAACCCAGATTCTAAAATTCTGTAAATATTCTCTCCTGACTTCCCTTTTCTTAAGACTCCCTTACACGAGGTCTCTCTTACTACAGTAAGTCTAATCAACTTTGCTGTGTTTGATACATAGGTCTTCTCCCTTATTGCAGTGAGTTTCATAGACTCATCTTTAAGTAATCAATGGATGTTTCTGACTGACTTCTGGAATTTACATTTAGCAGTCTCCTTACCCTCTGTATTGGGTTTCTTGGGCCAGAGTCAAGTTGTCTCCAGCTTTCTTTTGCTTGTGGACTAAGGAAAACATTCATTATTTCCTCTTGTCAAACTCTTGGAGGGCAGGCTGATTTCTGTACAGTCACTTTTCCTTTGTTTTGTCACCAAAGAGCTCACCATCACATCTGACCTGACTTTATGGTTTGCTTCTCAGTAGTGATAGTCCAGTCCACTGAACTCTGAAAATCCCAAGAAACACAGATGAGCGTCTTGGCTTCATTCAAATCCTTCTCTTCAGGATTGAGGTGGGATCATGCCATCTCCAACTCTCTACCTTGGGACTGATGGGGATAGCGGGTGAGATCATAGCATGACAACAGCTTCCTCCAGAGAAATCTCACAAATTTACTTTTCAAAGTCTGCTCTTTAATACCCTTAAAAGATTTCAGGATTTGAGAAAATTAGCAGTCTTTTATTTTCTTTGAAAATTTGAATTTAGTACAGCGGACACACTTTGGAACGTTGTATGTGCTGTATCCTTGTTCCTCAGTTGAAACTCCCAATGTGACATTCAGCTACATTCATATTTTGAGGTAAATGTACTCTGTTTATTTTCTTGAGAAAGATGCGCTGTTAAAAATAAGTTTGAGGACCAATCCAATTACACTCTTTAAGTCTAGTCCAGTGTTTCTCATGCTTCAATGTGCAGAAACAATTACATAGGAAATCTTGTTAAAATGCGGGTAAATGGAGTCTAATTCAGAACGTCTGTAGTAAAATCTGAGCTTGTATATTTCTACCAATCTCCCATATGATGCGAATGCTGCTAGTCCTCAAGCCATACTTGGCATAACAAGACTTCAGCCAACCTCCCTGTCCCGGGGGTTGGATTCAAATTGTGAATTCTCTGAACTGGAAAATTTAAAACAGAATAATTAGAAGTCAGTTACTCATTCCAGTGTTGTCCAGGAAAGGAGACAAGGAACAAGAATCTGGGATGAATATGAGGAATGATAAAATTGGGAAGTGATGGTGGAGAAGGGACAGGAGGATTTCAATGGAAGCCTGCTTGAAGATGTGACACAGAGTAGGCAGGAGATAATAGGTCAGTAAAGCAAGGGAGAATAATGAGAGAGAGAACACAGACAAAATAAAATAATCTGGCATTTCTGGCCCATGTTCTTTGGGTGAACACTGCCAAATGTTTGCATTGCTATGCTCAGGAGCAATAGGAGACCTTCAACTATTTTTGATGGATATTAAAAACATTTGATTAGGTAGGAGATGTTCTGATAATTGGGAACACATAGGTCTAGCCTGGGTACAACATAGCAATTCTTTTCCTTTTTCCTTGTTTCTACATCCACTGCTGCTATGACGCATTCTGGAAATTTTCTCTTTTTTTCTTTTTAATTTTTTATAGATACAGAGCAGTTGTATATATCAATGGGATACATGTCACATTTTCATAAAAGGATACAATGTATAGTGATCAGATCTGGTAATTGGGATACCAGACCTCAGACACTTATGATTTGTTTGTGTTGGGATTATTTCAAATATACTCTTCCAGTTATTTTGATAGAGTTCATGTCCTTTGTAGGGACATGGATGAAATTGGAAATCATCATTCTCAGTAAACTATCGCAAGGACAAAAAACCAAACACCGCATATTCTCACTCATAGGTGGGAATTGAACAATGAGATCACATGGACACAGGAAGGGGAATATCACACTCTGGGGACTGTTGTGGGGTGGGGGCAGGGGGGAGGGATAGCATTGGGAGATATACCTAATGCTAGATGACAAGTTAGTGGGTGCAGCGCACCAGCATGGCACATGTATACATATGTAACTAACCTGCACATTGTGCACATGCACCCTAAAACTTAAAGTATAATAATAAAAGAAAAAAAAATTATTGTTTACTATAGTCACGCCTTTGTGCTGCCAAACACGACATATTCCCTCTAACTGTGTATTTGCGCCCATTAAATAACCCCTCTTTATCCCCTCCCCCCACTGCCCTTCCCAGCCTCTGGTAACCACCATTTTACTCACTACCACCATGAAATCAATTTGTTTAGCTCCCACGCATGAGTGAAAACATTCAATATTTGTCTTTCTGTGCCTTGCTTATTTCACTTAACATAATGTCCTTCAGTTCCATCCACCTTGCTGAAAGTAACAAGATTTCATTCTTTTTTATGGTAGAATAATATTTCAATGAACCACATTTTCTTTATTATTTATCCATTAATGGACACATAGGTTGATTCTGTATCTTGGCTAATGTGAATTGTGCTGCAATAAAACATGGGAGTGCAGGTATATCTTCAATACGCCGATTTCCTTCTTTATTAGATATATTCTCAGCAGTGGAATTTCTGGATCATATGGTATTTTTATTTTTAGATTTTTGAGTCATTTACAAACTATTTTCCATAGTGGTTGTACTAGTTTACATTCTCACCTATAGTGTACGAGCATTCCCCTTTCTCCACATCATCACCAGCATTTGTTACTTCCTTTCTTTTTAATGACGGCCATTTTAACTGAAGTGAGATGATATCTCTCAGTGGTTTTGTTTTGCATTTCACGGATGATTAGCAACATTGAGCATTTTTTCATATACTTGTTGGCCATTTGTATGTCATCTTTTGAGAAATGTCTATTCATATCTTTTGCCCATTTTTCATTGGATTATTTGGGGGTTTTGCTATTGAGTTGTTTGAGTTCCTCATATATTCTAAATACAAACCCCTTGTCAGATGCATAGTACGCAAATATTTTCGATCATTCTGTAGGTTGTCTTTCACTTAGTTGATTGCTTCCTTTGCTGTGCAGAAGCTTTTTAGCTTGATGTAATCCCATCTTTAAGTTTTTGCTCTGGTTACTGTGCTTTTGAGTTCTTACTAAAGAAATCTTTGCCCAGGTCAATGTCTGGAAGCATTTCTCCAATGTTTTCTTCCAGTAATTTCATAGTTTCAGGTATTTTAATCCATTTTGATTAGATCTGTATATATGGTGAGAGATAAGGGTCTACTTTTATTCTTCTGCATATGGATAACCAGTTTCTCCAGCACCATTGATTAAAGAAACTGTCCTTTCCCCAATGTATGTTCTTGGTGACTTTGTCAAAAAAGAATTGACTATAAATAAGTAGATTTATTTTTGGGCTTTCTATTCTGTTCCATTGGTCTATGTGTTGTTTTTTTTAATGCCAGTATCATGCTGTTTTGGTTACTATACAGTATAATTTGAAGTCAGGTAATGTGATTGATGCCTTTAGCTTTGTTCTTTTTGCTCAATACTTATTTGGCTATTCTGGGTCTATTGTGGTTCCATATGAATTTTAGGATTTTTTTTCTCTTTCTGTGAAGAGCATCATTGGTATTTTGATAGGATTAGGCAATTATCTTGAGGAGTGTCCAAACTGATTACAAAAATACTGCAGAAGATGGAAAAATATATTATAAAAAACTCCAGCCTAAACAAAAATATATTTAATTATCTTGCAGGTTTGCTGGCAGTGGAATAATTTCCAGTGTTTTCTTTGCCAAAGCCTACTCACCATTTTTTCTTTGTTTGTTTAATCAATATAGATATTGTAGAGGGGTAAAGGGGATCAGTCATTTTTAGCAATATTTTTCAAAAGAGCAGAAATAATACTGGGTAAACCAAAAGGGACCATACGCAGGAGTTTTCATTGCCAGACTCTGATGCCTAGGGAGGAACTGACTGTGTTCTGTCAAAGCCTTTCTCAAGCAACAGTGAAAGTCAGAGCATCTCACCTACATGCCATATGACCTGCTTGTAAATAAATGTGTTGAGACAAACTGTTAAGTAAGGTACTTTGCAGGCACCACAATCATCAGAGGCTAATGAATCAGCATTTCCAGTCTAGCGACATGACAAAAAAAGAAAAATAAAACAAATGAAAAAAATATATACTTTTAGTCTACTCACTGAACTACAGAAAAAAGAATAATTTCACTTCTCAACTTTGAAAATACTTTACAATGGTTATGTTTATAAGAAGTTGCAGTTATTTCTGAGATAACTTATTATCTTGAAAGTTGAGAAATGAATTTGACTTCAGTTAAGCATCATCTGTGGATATGTGATAGCCATAAAATGAAAATAATTTGTGCACACACACACGCGCGCGCACACACACACACCACCCATTAAGACTAACATTTACTGTCTGAATTCTATGCCTTGTTTAACTTTTTAAACTAATTTTACCAGTCATTATCTTTATATGCTGGTATCCTCCTTATTATCATTTCTGTCTCTTCTTTTGGGAACAGCGTTGAGTGGTTTCATGACAGAAAAAATAAAGGCAGATGAATCATGAAGATTCTTTAAATGAACCTTAAGCCTTATTAAAACAGTTGAGTCATTTTTGTTTCCCTCCCACAGGGGCAATAAAAAAATCATTTAGTCTAAATTATTTTCATTTTCCCTACCAGTTTCTGAATCTCTTAAACCTGAAGAAAGCTTCAGAGCATTTCCGTGTAAGAAATTCAGAACCTCAGTGTCTGACCATAAGTGGGAAGAATGGATTGGTATTCTCTTATATGATGGCTTTAACTTTCTTTTACATAACGACATACAAAATGTTTGAGAGGGCAAAATAAATGATGACCATCTCCATTAAAGTAGCTAAAACTTTGAACTTCTGTTTTTTTCATTTGCTATAGATTATTTTCTCCATTCTCCTGTTTGCATTTCTCCTAATGGCCCATTCTTGTTACAAAATGCTCACTTTTATTGATTATCTTAATAAGTGATTAAAAGAATTGCTACTTTGTGGCATTTTGAGAATTTAAACTATGCTGATTTGCAGACAACCCTGCAAGGGACCCTTTTGGGATACATGCATAAGGCAAGTCATTGAAACCAAGGCAATAAACACATTCCCAATCTATGCCCATATGATGATCCTGGGTTATAATAACAGTGGCCGATTAATGTTGTTCCACTCAGATATTTCTTTACCCAGTAGTATTTGAGCCTTGGGCTATTATAATTCTTAAAGACAGAGTATCAGATCCCTAACTCCCACGGAGGTGTTAATTCTTTTGATTATTCTCTGGTGCAGAAATAATAAAGTTGCCTTCAAAATCAAAAGTCTAGGTCTACTGTGTTCATATTCCCTATCTAGCATAAGGACTGAGAACATCTTGGCAAAAAACTCTCTCCTTTAACCAAAACCTTAGCCAAGCTCCTCTGAATCCCCTGCTTGATTATCCTGGACCTTGGACTTCCCTCCCCGTCCCTGCAGAATCTAGTTTGAGCAAGAATTCCACCAAGAATGTTTAGGGAAAATCCCCCACCCTTGGTATCTGACCACCCTTCTTAACATCTTGTAACTCTGGTCTGTCTTCAGCAATGATCTTATCAAGTTAGTTTAGCCAGAAATCCCTTATTCTTGATATTTTCTCTTAGTAATTTTTCATCCACTGATCTGCCACCATGTTCACTGGTTATTATATACCCCCAATTGTCCTTGTTGGACTTTGAATAAAGTCTGCCTTACTATCTTTAACAAATGTCGCGAATAGTTTTTCTTTAACAATCTATAATGTTAAATTAGAAAATTACAAATATAATCCTGAGTTGTAAAAACATATTAGTGTCATACTGCCTTTTAATATCTTAGGCAGTTATAGAGAAGCTATAAATGAATCTGTGCAATGGAGAGTGAATTCCTGCCCATCTCCAAGACTAGAAATTGAATTTCATTGGCATGGTATGCTATTGGAAAATAAAGACATCCACAAGAAACCATGCTTACCGTGACTGTGCATCTTTACTAGGCCAACAAATACAGTTGTGTTGGATTCCAGGGAGATGAGGCCTACATCATTCATAATGTGAAGATGAGCTTATTCACACAAACACACATGTTCTTAATCTGTTCTCTACCAAACAGCTAGGAGTATAAAAGAAAATATGACTAACTGGGTTGATTTTAGTACTAAATTGTCCATGGAAGTCAGAGGTTTGCTTAAATTTATCACTGACAACGTACTTTAGATTTTTGCCATGAGTTTTATTCTCTCATGACTCAATACAACAGGGCTAAATTTTTTGTTAAGACAAGAAGAATATATAAAAAAGTAAATAATAGGGAAGGGCAGCATACTTTAGATGAAAAATGAGCAATGCTGACTTAGGAATCTGTAATTCTTTTGAAACTTGTTCAGATTTGAATACTATTATCCCATGAACTGGAAGCATTCTGTCCCTACTAGGGTTACCCCAGGATATTTTTCATAGTTTATAGCCTTGAAAGTTCTCAGCTATTCCTAAACACTTTGTAGAGAAATGGTGTTAATTTTTTTCCTAACACTTCATTCTATTCTGTGAAGACCAAGTGCTCCTAATACTTGTCACTCAATGCTGTCCTTGACATGTGGCTCAAATCTTTGAACTACTGAAGCTTATCTATTTTTGCACATATAAGTGACTCAAATTTCCTGACTCATGGTAAATATCTTTCTATTTTTTATTCTCACTTGTTAGAGGGAGTACACCATTTTAAAAAATATCTTAGTATTTTAATAACTGTGTAACTTGTAATACAAACATACTACATTTGAATAATTTTATATCAGGTAATAAATAATATTTAAGAGTGATATCAAATTAATGTACAGAAGGAAAGTACCTCTTTTATCAGTTTTAGGAGAAATGGCCAATTTTGGCATTGGAGCATATTTATGAGAAATAATAAATATGTTAACATCCTGGTATAGAATTCTAAATTAGATCCACCATAATATATTTAAAAGTGTATGTAGGTTTATTTTTTGGTTGTGGAACAGAAGATGGGTGGGTGGAGATATGTGGGTGCTAAGGAGCACAGAGAACATACTTTATTATTCATTTTGGTTCAGTGGAGAAAAATTACTAAAGGAGCTGGGCTACAGCCAGCAGAATCAGCAACAATTTCTTGTGATAAGGATTCAGTGCTGTATGAGAACTCATATTCTTGGGACTGTATGTTAAAACAATGGAATTTCAACATCAAGGAAGATTACCACTTAGCTGAGATTTGTGGTTATATTATTTCCCAATATCAAAAATGTTTTTGATGAAATTCTAAAGGGCTCACATAATGGTTTATTTTAATCCTATAAGGAAGAAATAATCCCCATACATCATTTTTTTACTTATGGAAACAAAAATATCCAAAATATTGGGTCACTTGAGTGAATGTAATATCAATGGCAAATTTAGATGAAAATATGGAAGATTAAATTTTGAGCCAAGGAATTATGAGTGTGAATTGGGAAACTGATGAGAATGGAGATGCTTTTGGAAATTCAAATAATTTTATTAGTGGCATATAATTAATGTGAACAGTATATAAACTAAACAGATAAGTGGCATGCTTATTTAATAATTAGAGAGTTGTAAATTCATAAACTTCTAATCAGGCTTCTGTCTTCATCAGTAGCTTTATTATTTTGGGGGGCATTCTATCATAACTCCATTTAATTAATCAATCTGGCCAATCACAGAGTGGATGGGTTATCACAGATAACCATAGACTACTGCAAACTTAACTATGTAATAGCTGTTATTGCAGCTGCTGTATTGAATTGGGTTTGTTTACTAGAGCACAATAATGCAAACTTTGAGACACGGTTTGCAGCTATTGATCTAATAATGCATTATTTTCTATATCATTCAATAAGAAGAATCAGAAGCAGTTTGCATTCACATGGTTGGAAAAAACAATGCTATACATTCATAGTAGTTCTTCTATTAACATATATTAATTAGTATCCTATTTAATATGTATTACTTCATCTATAATAACTAGTCCAGCCTCTTATAGAATCCAGTTCCTTAACTAGAAGCTAAATAAATTCAAGTGACTAAAGTGTGGCTCTTTCTAGAAATGTCAAATTACTAAAAAAATAAAAGAGTAAATATATGCACTGAGAGCTAATATACTTAATGCCATTATGCTACCCAGAGAAATTGTCAATCAAGGTAGAGGCCCACAGTAAAAGAAATTCTACAGAATTGAAAGGAAATTCTTTGATATGTTTTCAGTCTAATGGGTTGCTATGTCTAAAGCCTTTAGGCAAAGACCTCTTATACAACAGATAAAAAACAATGAAAAGGTTTAAAGATTACATTATAGATGCAAAAATCTGGTAAATAACTTCATATTGTACCTAGATTAACATCACAGGTGAAATGGAACAATTTTCATCTAAACTAAAAGAAAACACAACCTGGCTATCTAATGTAGATGGAAGAAGTTGTTTGAACATGTTTTCTTGGTCACGCCTGAGAAGTATTTGACCATATGTACAGAGCGCCCTTCAGACTCTTCTATATATTTCTAATTTTTGACTTAAAGTCTGTTTATCTGATATAGATATAGCTACTCCTGCTCATTTTTGGTTTCATTTTGTGTAGAATATCTTTTTCTATCCCTTCATGGTCAGTTTGTATGTATTAAATGAGTTCCTTGTAGGCAGCATGTAGTTGCGTCATGTTTTCTTTAATTCATTCAGCATGTCTGTCTCTTTTAAGTGAGGAATTTAAATCATTTATATTCAAGGTTATTATTGATAGGTGAGGGCTTACTCCTGTCATTTTGTTAATTGATTTCTGGTTGTTTTGTACATCCTCTGTTCCTTTCTTCCTCTCTTAATGTTTATAAATGAGGTTTGTTGGTTTTCAGTAGTGCTAAGTTTTGATTCTTTTATCTTTCTCCTTTGTGTATCTGCTCTAGCAGTGAGTTTTATACTTTTGCCTGTTTTCATGATAGTGATTATTGTCATTTTGCTTCCAGAATAGGACTCCCTTGAGCATTTATTGTAAGGCCAGTATACTAGTGATGAATTATCTCAGTTTTTGCACATTTGGAAAATACTTTTTTTCTCCATAATTTCTGAAGGATAGCTTTTCTGGGTATAGTATTCTTGACTGCAATTTACTTTTTCTTTCAACATGTTGACTATATCATCCCAAGATGAATATTTTAAGCTAATTTTACCATGAAAATTCATCTCTTCAAAAGTAATTATATGAGAAAGAAATATTAATAAAAGGAATTGTCTCTATGTGTCATATAACAGGACCCATAAAAATGACTCAAACTAAGTCATATATAAACAAGATCTAGGGAAATCAGTAAAGCCAACAAGGTAACGAAGGCCAAATTATCTTAAGGATGGGTAGATATCAAAAGAGAAATGAAGAAGACTGAATTGTATACAGGGTAAACAATATAGAAGAAGAAAAGTGCATTATTAGGGAATGGTGAGTAGTTGAGTCTGGCAGGATCACAGGGCTCTTCCACCAATGTAGCAGAAACAATTCTCTTTTGGAGAATTTTGACAATCAGCTAAAAGAATATGTGCACACATTTTATGTGTATTTGACTTTTTTTTAACAAATAAGGGAAAAAGTTATTGTGGTATTTCAGGAAGGTAAATCTGAAAGTAAGAAAAATTAATTGGAGATCAGGTGCAGTGGCTCACGCCTGTAATCCCAGCACTTTGGGAAGCTGAGGCAGGCAGATCACTTGAGGTCAGGAGTTTCTGACCAGCCTGGCCAACATGGTGAAACCCTGTCTCTACTAAAAATACAAAAATTAGCTGAGTGTGGTGGTGCACACCTGTAATCCCAGCTACTAGGGAAGCCTAGGCAGGATAATCTTTTGAACCCGGGAGACAGAGATTGCAGTGAGCTGAGCTCGTGCCAATGCACTCCAGCCTGGGCAACAGAGCGAGACTCCATCTCAAAAAAAAAATTAATAATTGGATATAGGAGACTCTAGATAACATTAAGGAAATATTGGAATGACTTCTGTATTAATTAATAAGGCTTAGGCCTTGGAGGTGACATTGCCCACAGATAGAACAACCATTGTGAAAGATTATGAGAAGGGAAAATCGTTAGGACTTAATGAACTACTCTTGGAGGTGAAAAAAAGAAAAGTCAGAACAATAGAGTTTCAGGATATGATGACTTGGAGATCAAAGTAATTTTAAGAGTGAAACAGAAATTCCAGAAAAGAACTTGATTACTTTTATATGACATGCTGACCTTTAGCCAAGGTAATTCTTACATTCTGTAAGACGACAAATCTTTACAGTAGTAAAGATTTTTTAAAATAAAAACATTAAAAAATAAATACTTGTTAATTCTTGGTGTTATATATTTCTCTGTAATTTTCTGACACTTTTCATTTTTTAAGATAAAAAGAAAATAAGTAAAGGCAATAAGGGCAAATAAGTGTGTTAATAAATAAGAGCTCAAGGATGAATAGGTTAGCTTATTTTTAGTTTGGGAAAAGAATGTAGGTGGACAAGAGGAAACTGTCATTTATTATATAAAAATAAGAAGGAAGACATAGAGGAAAGAATTGATTGGATATCATCAAAGGCAGTTAGATAACATGGAATCAGGGGAGTTAGAAGCTTCGAAAGTAAATTGGAAGTCCTGCCCTGGGATGAGAGGTTGAGCTTAAATTTACGGAATCATCTAGAGTCAATGAAGAAGGAAGGTGTTTAGATAGTGAATTTTCTAATTATATGCAGTCAGTCTTTCAACTAGTTTGTAGATGTAGTCATCTATTAAGAGTAAGATGCTGATTAAATTATACCACTGAGGAGTGTATAAAAAGTCTGAAGTGGCTTAGGTGATCACAATAGAAATTCAACAAGAGGTTTTTTTTTATTGATGAGGAGCAGTGAAAGAGCACGTGGGGTTAGAAAACGTTAATTTGTAATGGATTTTCAAGGCAAATAATTAGAATTTTCTTCAGATCAACTCTTGACAGCAAAAGCTTGGTAACTGGAATGACAGATCTGGTAGTTCAGAGTGTGAAAGTTTCTATGTGAGAAAGAAAATAAGATCCCTGGCTCGGCACGGTGACTCACGTCTGTAATCCCAGCACTTTGGGAGGCCGAGGCAGGTGGATTCCCTGAGGTCAGGAGTTCAAGACCAGCCTGGCCAACGTGGTGAAATCCCATCTCTACTAAAAATAAAAAAATTATCCGGTCATGGTGGTGCGTGCCTGTAGTCCCAGCTATTCGGGAGGCTGAGGCAGAAGAATCGCTTGAATCCTAGAGGTGGAGGTTGCAGTGAGCCGAGATCATGCCACTGCACTCCAGCCTGGGTGACAGAGCTAGACTCCATCTCAAAAATCAAATCAAATCAAAACAAAACAAAAGAAAAAGAAGAAGAAGAAAAGAAAAGGAAAGGAAAAAAGAAAAGAAACCAAGAGCCCTAAGACTTGATAGCTGATAGTTGGCCTTATTGCTACGAGATAGACTATAGTAAATTCAGGCTGAACATAATTTCATAGAACATCAACATTGGCTGAGAATTCTCTGTAACTGTGATAAAACAAGATGAAAACGACGATACTCTATGATACCACTGCAACAAAAATTTAAACAGCACAACATAAACAAAACCTCTGTGCAACCACAAAAAGGACCAAATATTCTTCTCTCTCTGCTAACTTAATCGACTTCTGTTTCTGAAACGACCTTGTTGTATGGAGTAACACCCGAGGTTTGTTGTCTCATTTCCACGAAGAACAAGGATATGGATACACAAAGAATGAGGTTGAGAGTGGAAGTTTAATAGGCGAAAGAAAGAGAACAGCTCTCTGCTGCAGAGAGAGGTCCTGGAAAAGTGGGTTGCCAGACCTGGGGTGAAATGCAGAGGGTTTTATAGATGAGCTGGTGGGGAGGTGCTGCCTGGTCTACATAGGGCACGAAAAACTGATTGGACCAGTTGTGCCATTTGCATAGGGAGTGAATCTCTGGCTGCCCCCTGCTAATTTTTTGTTAGGCAGGCAGGATCTCTGCCTGAGCTGCTCCATGTTGCTCATTTCTTTATTACTGTACACGTGGTAACAAAAAAAGGGAAGATGGAACCTCCATGTTGGACATGCCTGGCCCCCAGGTAGCCCTTTTCTATTGGCGCAACTGCTAGCACTCCCCCATGCAATCTTGCAGCTTCCTTATCTGTATTTGCAGCTTGATTTTTCAGGCTGCTCATTGTTACAAAAGAAATGATTTTGGGGGTTGCTTTTTGCTAGAAAAGAAATTCTGCCAAGGACTCTTGCCCTACTATCTGCCAGAATAATTTCTTTCTATCTCCTGTATTATTTATTCCCCAGTGGTGATTCTAGCCCTGCTCAGTTTCTTCTGCCACCCTGAAAAAAAGTGTTCTTGCTTTTTGCAACATACACTTCAGAACAAACGTTCACTTCCTCAACTCCTGTTTGAAGTGTCCCACTGTTCTTCACGGTTTAGTCTTTCTTGTTGCTACAGTTAACTCAACTTTGTTGACTATAGGTATTCCTGGCAGTCCCCCATTGAAGAGCATCAAGATAAACACAAAACTTGGCACTTTCATCATTAACACAACTACTCATGGGGCCAAAGCTTGGAAGGCACAAGTAAAACCAGAAGGAAGCTGATGGATTGATAGATAGAAGGACCAGAGAGATAGCACGCACAACGATGGTGGAGAACTGGTTTAGTGTGTAAGATACTGTAGACAAGGAACATAGGAGAAGACAGACTTCAAAATGGTGATGACAATTTGTACTGAGTCCCTACTATTTATTGTGCAAAACACAGCTTCTTAATTTCAGTAAGCTCTAGTACTCTAATTAAAGACTAATTTTTATTATGAAGATGGAGCTTAAAGAAAGCTCTTTTTTTCTCAATGTGAATAATCATTTGCACATCAATTCACATTCACAGAATATTTTCAAAACACAAGAGTGCTGCAGTGTTCCCTCCCTTTCTCCAATGATATGATAGAGAAAAAAAAGGAGACTATTTCCTACTCTAAGAGGGGAGCTGAAAGAACACTGTCTCTCCTCTCTTGCAGGGTAATGTAACTCAAATTAAATGAAAATTCATTTATTTTGTCATTCGGAGACCACGTCAATCACCAACTTGGTCAATGGAGAAAAATTATCACTAAATATTTAATCTTGTTTAAACTTAGTCCAATAATATTGAGAAGCATCTTTCAGAGATGCAGATTATCAGGATAAAATATTTGGACTCCCAGAAAGCCTCCACTTGCCCCTGCTTCTCACCTTAATGTGGTCTTGTGTTATATTGAGAGAGGGATTTTAAAGATCACCTTGACATGAAAAGGGACCAAAGTCCTCCAAAGTGATGCCCTCTATTTTCCTGGTCTCTCACAACATTCCTTGTAAACATGGACGCAGTTAACCTTGCTAGTAGTCATGGCTGAAGCCTGTTATTGGTTCAGTTAGTGATCTGGTCCCTTTTAGTTTGGTTCGTATGATTGGTCCTCAACTCAGTCTCCACTGGCTCCAGGTTGCTGATTGCAATTGATCCCCTATCACATCTATTAGCTTGTCAGCTACAGGGTTCCTTTTGACAGGCCAGCCAGATCCTGACTGAATACCCGTGACATATATGAATTGGGGTTTCTTCAGGAAAGGAAATTTCAGGGCTTCCATCTGTCAGATCCCATCAAAGTGCCAAGTTCCTAGAATCTCATTCAAGGTTGGTAGGAGAGGGGGCAGCCCAAGAAGTAAACCTTTTCTAGATCTCTCAAGTAGCCTCCTTCTCAGACTTTAATGTTATCCTTATTTATCAGAGATAGCTCCTTCCTATACTCTGCAGCCACAAGCAGGGAAATTGGTGACTGCTTCTTTCGTTCTCTCCCTCCTTTTCTTCTTTCTTCTAGTCATTTTCTAGACAGAAATAGGCAGTATTTCTCTATACCCTCCCTATGCGCTATTTGCCTTGTGCCATTGGGAAGTAAGCTTAAGAGACTAAAGTCCTATATGGGTGGGATAAGGAATATTTATAAACTGGATTCACTAGGCTGACACTTCATAGCCTATGATATGGATAATACTTATTAAAGACAATTCTGGACCTGCAAGTCTGCCACCTTGTGGCACAGTCTAATTTAAAATATTATTAACTATTGCCTAGGTCTTCTGTAACCAATTATAATTACTTCTCAGGTAGATGGATACCTAGGAAAAACTAAGTCAATTATAGTTTACAGGGAAAGTAAGAAAGAAACAAACTAATCTGTTAGTTCAGGGAGAACTGATTGATAATGTAATTGAAGTTGTGTTAATGGTGTCAATTCATGACAGCAAAACAGCAACCAGGAAGAGCACTAGGGTTTATGACATTGTGTGTCTTGACACATTATTTCGGATCTGAGTGTTTGGGGTGGTGGTAGAGGTCCTCTAATTATTTTTCTTTTGCTAGAGGGACATTTGATTACTAACACAGAGAGACAGCACCATATAAAATTATACATTCTACACAATTTACTTTCTCTTTCAAGTTCAATATACACAACAAATGGTGAAATATTTATTTATTAAAAATTTGTAGTCTGCAGCCCTCTCAGTAAATGATTCTATTTTTTTCAATCTACAATATGATTCACGTGCTCTATAACTGTTCTAACTATTCTAGAACTATGAGGGTAATGCTAGGCATAAGATGGAAACATCTCCCTAATCAGAAGAGGGAAGTGAAGATTTTAATGTCTATTTAAAATCAGTTAAGGTCTATAATAAAAATGCTAACATAACACAAAATATATTATTAAATATATTTACACACTAAATATCCCCTAGTGTTGTACAAATACTAAATCTTAACCAAAACTGGATTACATTGTATGATACTTAAATTCTGCTTTTCCTACTTCATGAATTATTTCAAAGGCAATTTTCACCAGCATGTGACTGTAAAGTGCTGATATATATATATATATATATATATATTTTTTTTTTTTTTTTTTTTTTTTTTGAGACGGAGTCTCGCTCTGTCACTCAGGCTGGAGTGGAGTGGCCCAGTCTCAGCTCACTGCCAGCTCCGCCTCCCGGGTTCACGCCATTCTCCTGCCTCAGCCTCCCACGTAGCTGGGACTACAGGTGCCCGCCACGACGCCTGGCTCATTTTTTGTATTTTTAGTAGAGACAGGGTTTCACTGTGTTATCCAGGATGGTCTCAATCTCCTGACCTCGTGATCCGCCCGCCTCGGCCTCCCAAAGTGCTGGGATTACAGGCGTGAGCCACCGCTCCAGGCAAGTGCTGATATTTTTAACCCTCTGTAAATACATTCAAAGTTTAAACACAGTAGAGAAGTTTCTCATCTGTTGGAAATCTCACATAGCTATACTGAGGAAAAGAAGTTGAGTTGTCTTTCAAATTGGACATACTAATTTAACTAAATATATTATATACCATACCATACGATGTCAACGGATTTTAAAATTGGTAGTTTGAAGGTTAAAAGTCACTCACTTCACATAAAATATTAAATTGTGGAGTAACAAATAGGATAATGATTTAATACCAGTTCAGTGATCAAGTTACATTCATTTAGAAATGACTGATTTTATACATATATGCCACAGGGTAGTACTGATTTAGCAAAATGTGCTTCATTTCCATTAAACAAATTTACATCACATGCATACAAACAACCTGCAAAATCTTCACTATATTCTATCATAGATATCCACTGCAAAACACTGTAAATATTATCATCTTAATAATTCTCATTGCTTCTCTAACTGTAGAAATATTTTGAGTTTTGCCTTGACTGCGGGCAAGATTTTAATATGGAATGTTTTCAAGGCTTCACATTCCAAAGGACATGAAATGCTATTTTAGGCGATAATTTCTAAGAACCTTGGTCCTATACAGGCAGGACTCATAAAAGCCAATCCTTTGATTCTCTCCAGTGATCTCATGTGCCTACAGTAAAAACGACTTTAAAAAAAATTTACAACTCTATCATGAATATATTGCCCTTTTGATTTGACCCTACCCGACCAGACAGATCACCAGCTGAATGGAATCTAAAATAGTTTATGAGGTACTACAGTTGACTGATACATAAAGGCAAAATACATGAAGAATATATTTTACTTTGTTGAGTAAACTAAGGGTACTAGGATGACTACAATTGTCCAGAAGCTGTAATCAATGTACCTGTTATATTCAGAGGAGCATTAAAATTTTAGATTATCATTAGCAACAAAGAGTGAAAGCTAATATTAATCTCAGCATAGCACCTTGTTCCCTTAAGCATAAAGAAATAGAATTTGGCAATGCTGCATAGTTTTGGGGACGTAATACAGTGACAAAAAGATATAGAGTTCCAGGTCATTGTGGTGAATGCTTTGTGGTGATGTTAATGGTGGTGATAGTGATAGGCTTAGTGGGGTGCATGCCACTGAGGGGCAGGGCCATAGAGAGGGAAACGAAGCCATCTGAAACAAGTAATAATCAACATCAAAGAGCAAGATATATGAAATGTTTTGAAAGCATGCCCACAAATTCTTTGAAGCCTTCTTTAAAAGCTGAAGCCGAATTCCCCTCATTTTGAACTTAGGCTGGCCTTGGTTACTAGCTTCTAAATAGTAAAATGTGGCTAGAATGATGCTGCACCACTTCTGAGGCTAGGTTTGAAAAGGCATAGTTTCCCTCTGGCTCACTCTCTCTCAGGATATTCACCCTTGGAACCAAGGCCACATGAGAAGACCCCCTTGTAGGTGTTCCAGTCAATACCCTTTTTTGAGATCTCAGTTTACAGCTAGAATTACCTGCCAGCCATGTAAGATCAGACATTCTCACAGATGACTTCAGTCCCTGTCACTATCAAAGTGCATGAAAGACTTGAAGCAAGAACTGCCCCGCTGAGTACAGTCAGCACCCAAAACCATGAAGAGATGATAGTAATAATAATAATAAATGACTGGTGTTTTACTTTGTTAAGTATTGGAAGAGTTTTATGCAGTAATAAACAACTGAAACAATGGGACATTTCCAAAACTAGTGGTCCTGAGAGGTGGCTTGTGTGGACATTCCTGCCGAGGTTAACATGCTGTTCTCCAGGGACTAAAGCAATTCTTAAATCTCTATCAGAGATGCTGAAATGCAATTCACATAAGGCAATATATGATGGCAAGTAATAGGGACATGCTTTGTGTGATATCTCCTTAATATGAAGTGATTTGTATATAACCTACGAAATGGGGAGCTAATGAGTTATAATTATTCCATTTGTGTCCAGCCCTGTCCAAGGGAAAGTGTGACTTGACCACCTGCCATGAGAATTTGAGGTAATTTGGCACTCTTGCACTAGAGACAGGGGATATCTGAGTACAATCGTCTAATGGAACTAATCACTTAATCATTTCTGTTTATTTCACTATATATTTATACACCATGTTGTTTCAGAAAAGATTTGAGTAAGTTTAAAAATATATATCCTTTTGGGAAAGAGAGCATAAATTTAAAATGTGACAAATTTGGCTCTAACTCTAATTTTTGTTTCTTTCTTCTTCTTCTTTTTTTTTTTTTATGGAGTCTTGCTCTGTCGCCCAGCCTGGAGTACAGTGGCATGATCTCAGCTCACTAGAGCCTCTGCCTCCCAGGTTCCAGTGATTCTCCTGCCTCAGCCTCCCAAGTAGGTGGGATTACAGGCTCCCACCATGACGCCTGGCTAATTTTTTGTATTTTTAGTAGAGATGGGGTTTCACCGTGTAGGCCAGGCTGGTCTTGAACTCCTGACCTCAAGTGGTCCTCCCGCCTCAGCATCCCCAAATACTGGGATTACAGGTGTGAACCACCATGCCTGGCCTAGCTCTAATTTTTCTAATATCCAAAATACAATGAGACATATAGACAATTACATAATTCACAGAGTTCATAAAATTCAACAAAACAGTTGCTCAGGGGTATACTTATTCCTAAAATAAAAAGTGAAATAGAATTATTTTTCATTCTGGGCAGGGTCAAAAGAAGAGGTTATGATGTGTTGTAAATGAACAACATCTTTTAAATTACTACACAGGCAAGATCCGGAAGAGTTATTTTTCCTGTTATTCTTTTACTTTCTCACAGTTTAAATTAAATAAGTAATACATTTTTACTAAAAATAAGAAAACAACAGGAAAGCATATAAATTAAAAGATGAGAAAATATCCCTTTATTTTTGCCCTTACCCTGATCACCAAATTTGAAATGACACTTTCATCAAACAAACCATTTTAGACTCTATTTAATTTCTTAGATTTGTTTATTCTTGCCATGGCACCACACAGTTTATCAAGATTGTTTCTCAGACTATTCTTCAATAAGGCTGACAGTAAAAGCATTTCTGTATGTATGAATATCAGGGAAGGAGGCAATATAATATGATCTAAGTACCAGATCTTCTGTTATGACAATCTAAGGATTCATTTTTTAATGTCTGGAAAAGTATATGCAACACATCTCATTCAAACAACTCTTCTGAAATATTATTTTTTTAAATCAATTGCACTGGTAAAAATACTGAATGATGGAGAGCATGAGATGATTTTTTCTAGTAATTGTCTAAAATATAGCTATTAAGCATTCAATATTAGTTTAGAGTCATAGGTCTTAGGAGTAGCAATTTAGGGGTATAGATTTAACATATTTTGGTGAAACTGTAGTATGAATTCATCTGGAATAGAGGGATAATCATCTTCTCTGAGGAGAGTTGAGTGGGATCAGGACAAACCTACCTGAAGAGCAAAGTTTCCTTCCATAACTTATTTAAATAGAAGGCAATTCGTAAAGGATTGGGTGACCAAGGCCCCAGGGTCTTGCCCCATGGTTCCAGTCATTTAAATGTTAGCATTACCTTCATTTGATTACTTTCCTACAGAAAAGGAAGAAACACATCATTTTTTATGAGTATCTGTATCTGTTGACAATTTTATTTTTCAGTTCAAATTATTTCATCAACATTTTATTTATCAACATTTTCATCCATGATTTGAAGGAATGTGTTCATGACTTAGTACCTAATTATGCCTGACCAAGTGAAGAGAATCAAGTGATTCAAAATACGTTGTCTGAGTCCATTCATCCCTTCATACAACAAATATTAACTGTTTAATATTTTATTTAATATTTAACTGGCATTGTATTGATGTGCTGACACTGTCTTTGAGGCTGGGGTTAAAATATTTAGCAAGAGAGACATATCGGGTTTTTCTGGTCTTCTGGATTTTTTTTCTATTTGGAAATAAAAACAATATACAAATAAGTGTGATATTTCAGATGATGAGCATTACGATTGGGTTGTGTCTGTGGAAAATAATCTTTGGACTTGTAGCTGTAAGACTAAAGACAAGAGGAAATGAATATAAACACGGTAACCTAGTTTTGATAAAGTCATTTCTCATTAGAATATAGGTTATCGATTCTGAATTTGGCACACAGATATACTTGGATTGAACAAAAAAGTAAATGGATAGCAGGTGTTAATCAGGTTTCTAACTGTTGAGTAGAATGTTACAGATAAACGAGGGGGTAAATAAACCCTTTGATACTGAATTAGGATTGGAGACCAGTATAAACTCATTTTTATCTTAATTTAACATAGTTGGATACATACAGAAATAATTTTAGACAGGTGTGTATGCATGGTTTATTAAGCATACATATCTTTCTTAGCTCTGTTCACTGAGAGGGCTTATAAGCAAGTATACCTCTGTTGCAATAATCAAGCACTCAGGTCTTAATTTGTGATACCATCCTCCAATCACAGGAATCAGGGCTTCCTGGAGAAATGGCTGGGGCAGAGAATATACAAGATGAGCCTGGAACATCTAATAGTACCAGAAAGTAATGCAGTGTTCCAACAAAAAAGATGAAGTCATGTCAAAGAAACACAGGAGCCAACCTGAAAATGTTCCCAGTGGGCAAAGCTAGAGCAAATTGAGCAACAAAAACAACAGCAACAACAAGAAAAACATTGTAATGGATCATAATACAAAATATTATACATATATATATATGAATCCATATGAAAATAAATAAAAGATCAAATAAGTAAATATATGAGAGAGAGGGGAGAAATCTGTGGTACAGAAAAACAATTTATATACTCACATCTCATGGAATTGGAGCTTAACACTCCACCCCTTGAGTGTGGACTGCACTTAATGACTTTCTTCCGGAGGGAACTATAACGGGAGGCAGGGGAGTAACTTTACAGTGGAAAATCCTAACAAGCACTAGCTCCATCCCAGTGACCCAGGTTAGCTTCATCGGTGATGCTATCATGTGGATAACATGTACCGTTGATACGATGTAATAAGTATGGCGCTTCCCATCTCTAGTCTTCCTCCCAAAACTCCATAACCTCAGTTTAACCATGAGAAAAACTTCAGACAAACCTAAATTGAGGGACATTTGACAAACTACTTCACCAGTCATTCTTAGAACTGGCAAGTCCATCGAAAATAAGAAATATATAAGAAACTGTCAGAGTCCAGAGGAGGCTAAAGAAACATGGTGATTAAACATAATGTGGTATCCTGATTGTGATCTTGGAACATTTTTTAAAATTAGATATAAACTAGTGAAATCCAAATACAATGTGGAGTTTAGTTAATAGTAATATACTAATATTTGGTTTTCTATCATATGAAATATAGTAATGTAAGATGTTAAAATAGAGGTAACTTGATGTGATATATAGGAGCTCTTTGAAATGTCTTTGCAACTTTACTGTAAATCTAAAGCAATTCTAAAATTAAAAGTTTATTTAAATTTAAAAAACCAGGCTTTGTGATCATAGAGTGAGGATCAGAGTGAGATGGTTACTTTAGATTGGAGGTAAGTAGGGGAAAGTTTTTCTGAAGGTATGGTACTTGAACTGAGGCAGAGCCAGGGATACAAAGATCTGGAAGAGGGGCATTCCTGGTAGAAGGAATAGCAAATGCAAAAGCTTGAGGCAGGAATGAGCCTGTGATTTTTAAGGAATAGCAAAAAGCCTGTGGCTAAGACCACAATGTATGAGTAGAGAAACTGGTGATAAATGAGAGCACAGAAGAAATAAAGGGAGTAGAATATCTAGGGTTTTTCAGGTTGTATGTCTGTCTCTCATATTGGACTAGGAATTTCCTCACCGTAGAGTATGTGGCATCCTTTTCTGCTCCAACTCTATGATATTGACTAATAAATACAGTATGTTTTTAGTAACTGAATTCAAAATTGAAGGAAAAAACATAGACCCAATGGTGTACAGAAAAATGTTTAACCATTGATTTGCTAGAGGACAAGCCCAGATTTGTAGTGTTGGCCAATTTTCTTGATGTACGTAATCTCACTGCAGTCAATTTCAAGCTACCAATGTGATATTACTAAAGGAGGCATTGGGAAGAGGTGTACACAATAAGCTCTCAAGAGCTAGTAGAGCTCCAGCACATCACTGTGAAGACACCACATAGGATCTCTCTGAACAAAACTCAGCACAGTTTTCAGGTGGCTATGATTCCACCTAATTGTTCAATCACAAACACATATTTTCCCAACTTTTTCAGAAGGACATATGAGAGACATTATTAAATGTCTTCAATCACAAGTCAAAGTTACCCAGAAAAAGAAAATCCAATTGATAGGTACTTACTTCGGTTTGTTCTTGGTGAACTAATTTTTGCTCTCCCAAATCACCAATTCCCATTCACAGTACCTACCCACAAATCATCTCACCAGAATCATTTACTAAGGATTTCTGGGTATTAATTTTGATAGTTTAAGTAGCTAGTTGGAATCTCCATCCCAAGGTCCTGGAGTAGGGCCAGCATGCTAATATTGGAAAGGTTTTTCGGAATTGAGCAATTCTTCCCTGGATGCCTCAGACAATTAGGGAGAGCAACATAATAAAGCAGCTGCTCTATGTCCTGATGAATCAAGAAAATGGAGGTAACCAGGGTTGAAGGAATAGCATGAGGATGCATGGAAAGGGAACAAATCCAAGAGACTGTTCTAGCAGAAGCAGACAAGAACCCATAGTTTTTCATGAGTCTTTTGGAGAAGTCTCATAGGATGGCATGGACTTACAGTCATCATTCAGTTTCCTAAATTGTGGAGTAGATTTTATGTGTATGTACAATGAAAATTACTGCAGGCCATATTTCAGTGGTGTACAATGCCAAAACACAAAGATCAGCCTTTAATAGTAGTGTGGTCTCCAATGGAGATGATAGATCAGCTCACATTATAACTTTAGAGTGGAATCAACTGTAAAAGCTCACTTAATCCTAAAAATAGCCTTCTGATAATATTCTTATCTCATTTAAAATACAGAAAACAATGCTCAGAGAGTTAAGGCATTTGGCTGAACCGTATGAAATCACCATATTTGTGGGTGATAATGCAAATATTGATACTTCCATAGTCAATTCTGACCAAAAGTTAGTAACGAAGCAAAACCTGACTTGAACCCAGGTTCTCCAAAACCTGGTCCTGTTTTCTTTCCATTTAACTTCATTGCTTTTCTAGGATGACAATCTCTGAGCTTATAAACTTCTAGAAAATTGGGTTTCTAACTTTCAGGCATGGCTTGAAAACAATAAATGGTCTAAAATTATTAGAAAATCATATTGCTAATTTAGTTTTATGTTTACAAGAGTTCTTTGCCCCATTGCTTACCAGAATTGCCTAGGGAGATTAATAAAATGCATTTTCCTAGACCACATACATGGTTATTCTGATTCATAAAGTTTGTAACAAAGTTCAAATTCTATGTTTTTAATAATTATCTACTGTGTTTCTGATATACCTGGTTCTGGAGAAGCTCTGGGGAATCACTGAGATAGAAAAAGAAACTGATATGATGAAATGGATTTTTCTCTTTGTGCAGAGTGATTCGGCACCAAGCAGACACACTCTGAGTCTGAGTACTGAGCTTGAGCAATACAAATAGGTGACTCATAATGATTAAGCATGGAGAGGGTAATGTGCAGTGAACATCCACAGACAGCTGGCTTTGACCATATCTTCAATTCAGCCTGTACTGAGAACGCTTGCTAGGGGTTTGAGTAAATTGGAAAGAGTCAATTCTTTCTCTCCTTCTCACACTATCATGCTCCCTATTCTCCAACATCACTGGCCCCCATTTTCTATTCTCCTTGACATTTCCTGCAGACAGCAGCTGCCATTAAGTAACTGTGACCAATCAGGATTCTGGTAGAAGAAACATTCCAGAGATAAAACCATTTTGCACAAAGTTGAAGAAAAAAACTCTTTATTTGACATCACATCAGAAATAGTGCCTGTACATGAAGCACATCAATATTTCAAGAGACAGAATATATAAGGCAAATAGCAAATAAAACATAAATTAAATGAGGAGATTGTTTTCTTCATCTATTAGTAAATTGACCTTTTATGCGTTTGTTTGTATAATTCACCAAGTTTAGTTTACATGCCTTCAAAAATAACATATGATTATACTTTCTCTGTGTCAGTCATTTGTCAATGTCATAGGGATCTTGGGTGTTCTCTACTTATTTCTCCTCCCTCCCCATCCTGCAACACACACACACACACACACACACACACACACACACGCACACACAAACACACCCCAATCCTGTTTTTCTCTAGGTTTACAATCCCCCATTTCGGGGGACTAAGGAGTTGATAAGGATTTAAGTTTTTTCCTTCTTAAGCTTTAAGTCACAAATCATCAAGTACTGTTTGCATGCTCTGCGTACCTAGATAAAATTGAAAAATAAACATTAATATACTTATTTCAGCACATAACTTGAGCAATCATGTAGCAGATGCTGTGCTAAGCCATGGGACCATATCCCTTCAAAAAGCCAGGCAACAATCATGAGTATTTGAGCTTATATTTTAGCAAAGAAGATTGACATTAAACATTTCTCTGAAATTAAGATGACTGTTATGAAATACAGAATACCACTAAAGAAGAGTGTAATAGGGAGACATAAACTAATCCAATATTCTAGAGAAGACCCCCATGATGATGTGCTTAGCATATTGGTGGGAACAGAGGAAGCACAGGGAAAGTGTGGCAAGAAATTAGGTAAGTAGCAGGGGCCATATATTGAAAAGTTAAGCAAGATTTAAAGCCTTTGGTGACTCTTTGAAAGGTTTAATATGGAAGAGTAATGTTAACTGCTTTCATTCTACTTTTACTTCACCATTTTCAAATTCAAATTGGTGGAATATTTTCTTCCCACTGCATTACCATGTATGTAGAGTTCATTTTCAAAACCATTTTTGCAACTGCCTAAAATTGTTCATGTGTTAAATCTATTATTCAAAATACTAGCTTCATTCCCCGCTTAGTATATGTTTATACAGTAACCATGTTTCCCAGGTGTTTGTGTAGCAATTAAGAATAATGCTCTGAGTTAAGGAATAATCTGATGGATCATTTAACCCTAAGGTGATATTGACTCATGGGGTGAGAACTCCTGGAATCAATGGATTCTAATCTCAGTAGATGTCAATTTAAATCCTCAGTCCATGTATGCCCTCATCTCATCTTATACCTATGTTAATGTTTCTGCATATAATCTTTTTTTTTGAAAAAGAAGGAGATTTAGAAATAATTGAGTCCAGACCACTTCCATTCAGAGATTCAATGATCAGTCACAGACCACACAGTACGTTAGGACAGAGAGGGGCTATATGGACTGGTCTACTGATTTCGTTTCAAGGTTTTTGACCATGCCACGTAGATTTTACCAATTCTAAAATGTAGATTCACAAATCTTCCTCAAGCTAATGGAGGTTACAAACGGGGGAGGGCAGCACTCATTTCAATAGTTACTTTGTCAATAAATTTGATATAGAATATATACTTTCATGCCAGCTAGCTGAACTTAAGACACTGTAATCAGAAAACAAAACCCAAAAAACCCTACTAAAGCAAACCTCAAACTTTAGTTACCTTCTTGAAAAAGACAAGGGTTGCTTGAACCTTAACACATAAAGGAGGTATATTTAATAATTATTAAGGTCCTAATATTGGCATTCCCTTCCACTAAAATAGTTTTCCTTTTTAAAAAATATAAAACATATTACTAAAAAAATTGCTAAGGGCTTTACAAAATGTGAGCCAGCATTTATAAATGCATAACTTGATAAAGTAATATGAAATAAACTCAAATTGCATGTATTCCGTTTCCTTTAAGGATATATAATTTCTGTAAACTTAAGAAAAATGCTTAATAAAATCTTTTGATTTTACGACTCCCAAAATATCTTTAAATAATGAGAACAACTTGAATTTTCTCATCCTTAAAGAGAAGTCTGTTGCTTCCACTTATTTTGGCAGTAACAATTTAGCTTGGTTTTAGTTATTCACTCTGATATACTCTGTGGGCTATATACCCCCAGTTTTTCAATATTCGGTTGCTATTGTACTAACAGATATGTTTGATCTCCTAAGCACCATGGCAGTGAGCACAAACAGACACATACAAATGTTAGAAAGGAAAAGCCCGTGGATTTATTAAGTGACGCAGGACAGGGGAGGTAGATAGGGCTCATCAAAGAGCTCAGACACGGAGTACTATGTGCCATTTGAAATTCACATCTGTCAATTATTTGGAAGTATATGTAGGGAATTAGTGAATCTGAGGTACACTAAAGAAAAAGTGTTGGCCGAGTGCGGTGGCTCACACCTGTAATCCCAGCACTTCGGGAGGCCGAGATGAGCAGATCACCTGAGGTTGGGAGTTCAAGACAGACCTGACCAACATGGAGAAACCCCATCTCTACTAAATATACAAAAATTAGCCAGGCATGGTGGCACATGCCTGTAATCCCAGCTACTCGGGAAGGCTGAGGCAAGAGAATTGCTTGAACTTGGGAGACGGAGGCTGTGGTGAGCCGAAATCGTGCCATTGCACTCCAGCCTGGGCAACAAGAGCGAAACTGTGTCTCAAAAAAAAAAAAAAAAAAAAAGAAAGAAAGAAAGAAAAAGTGTTACAGATTAGTGTTATTATTAGATGAACAAACAAGGGTTCTAATTTGGTCTTTTGTTTTCCTTCTAAGTATATTTAATACATTTCAAGAGGCAAGCCAAACTTACCGGTAGTAAATTCTAGGCCCCAGAACACATCAAATCTTTGTAATCACTTCCCATGGAGCAGGTTCTGTGCTCTGGCTGGACATGTAATGACAGGTAAGGCAATTTCTCCCTTGAGGAGCTCACGAACCAGTCCTACCGTTGCAGTATCTCTCTCACCATGGGCATGAGATGTATTTGCAATGACTTTTATTTTCTATATGCTTATGCTTTCACATCGTAGGGCCTTGTTGACCACAGAGGGATCTCCCCCCACCCAGGATTAGAAAACTTCTAGACATAGCAAACAACTACGCTAGGAGCGTACCTTTCATACACAAACCAATCAATCCAAAGCCCATAGTCCCAACCACCTCCTTTATAGGCTCTTACATGCCAGGCCACTATCCACTTCCCCTGAACACCCCAGGGCCAAGTGCCAGACAACTATGGACGGCCTCTGTACCACAGAGCCTGCTGAAATTATTCAAACTATTAAATCCTAACTCTGCTTATGCTGTCCCATCCATTCCTTCCTGAAGAAACCCAATAGAAGCTCTTGTTCACATTTTCCCCTTGCTCTCTCTGCCTCCTAAATGACCCTGGTGCTTCCACATGTGGCCCTGAATGGTGGTGCTGTGCCTCTTGTTTCTAGAGATCTTCAAAACAGTCAATTCCATGTCTGTGTATCTTATCATATTTTTTAAAACAGTCCTGGATACCCTTAGAATATAGCACCATTGAGACTGGGTACAGTGGCTCACGCCCTTAATCCCAGCACTTTGGGAGGCCGAGGCAGGTGGATCACGAGGTCAGGAGTTCAAGACCAGCCTGGCCAACATGGTGAAACCCCGTCTCTACTAAAAATACAAAAAATTAGCCGTGTTTGGTGGCACGTGCCTGTCATCCCAGCTACTCGGGAGGTTAGGCAGGAGAATCGGCTGAACCCGGGAGGAAGAGGTTGCAGTGAGCCAAGATCACTCCATTGCACTCCAGCCTGGGTGACAGGGCAAGACTCCACCTCAAAAAAAAAAAAAAAAAAAAAAGAAGAGGAATATAGCACCATCAAACCACACTTTGTTTTCAACTGAGGCCTCTGAGATCATCTGTGATTGCTGGAGGGGGAATTGGTGTGTTGATGACCAAGCCAGCAGGAATCTACAATGTACCAGTAAATGAGTTATGAATGCTTAATAGGAAAAGGAGAAAAAAGGCCATGAAATAAATTTCACAGAACAGTTCCCATGTTATGTTCAGTGTATGAAAGACAGTACATTTAAAGCACTTTATATTAGAGGTAAAACTGAGTGCTAACATCCCAAACATCCAAGGAATGAGACAACCTATCTACAAGGGTCAAATTCTATTAACCATTTTTATTTAATCCATTATTTTGCAATCATGTAGCTAGGTTTTACAGAGTGGGAAAAATATATGTGGTCCAAAAACATTGAAGGTGGTAGTTGAAAGTACTTGTACTTTGGAGGATTAGATTGAATTCCAGGATTGAATAATTTTTACATAGTTGTGAAAAATAATTGATTATGTTAAGATATTAAAGGATTTTAGTCATATGTACTTTGGGAACTTAAAATCAATATTAATTAACATTGGTAAAATGCTCTCAATGTAATCAACATTTTAAAACACATTTTTCTTATTCTTTATAAATAGCTTTATGATCATGAAATAGTGATTAGAGTAAATGTTTCATTTTGGTACAGAAAGGAGTGAAATAGAGATTATTTTTATTCTCAGAATGTGAAGAATGATATAAGTCTCCCCTCTCCTGGCATACAAAAATGCTAATATTTTCCATGACCCATTTGTATGAAGACCATTTATAATGCAATTACATGCTTAGTGGTTCCCCACGATGTAAGGCCTTCTTGCACCTGGTACTAACACATCACTGGCTCAACACTTGGATTTCTCGTCTTCTTACCATGTACATATGCCACAGGAGTTATTGAGTAGACAAAGCAGATGCCCTGTGTTTTCTTTTTTTGTTGTGGCTTTTTCCCACTAATTGTATCTGTACGTGTGTGTGTGTGTGTGCTCTCAGAGTGCTATATATGTTAAAAAACGCATTTATATATATATATATATATATATATATATATATATGTCTGCGTATATATATACATATATATACACATAGTTTCAGTTATCATTCGGTTAGCCAAACTGATAGAGAAAAAGCAAAAGAAAAAGTAGCCTAGAAAATTATATCATAAAAATTCTCAGGGAAATGTGTTTGCTCTTCAGTGTGGAAGTTCACACCATTATGTTTTTCCTGAGAAAACACTCCATGAAATGCTACAGCTGTGGAGTCTAATGAAAAACCAGAGCATCTGTACTGTGACAGACATTCATTTCTAAGGCCTTGCTGCTGGCCCACTGATGGGTGTGGAGAATGTCCACCACTGTCTTCAAGAACATTCTTCAAACATTCCAGAATCAGGAAGACTGGCCCCATGGAAAGACACATTTATCAAGACACTACAGCAGATTGTTGATTTTTTTCTGCAGTTGATGTACAATAGAATGAGACGTCATTCATTCTAAAGTCAGAGGTCATGTTTGTCTAAGAAAGAAATATACATAACAAGAATCTATTACTAATACAGAGCTAAGAAATCGAACTAGTCTATTGTAGCTGCAAACTATAAAATGTGAAAACCAAGAAAATAAACTCCTACAGGGCTGAAAGGAGTTGTGAAGTCTACCCATACATTAGATGCTTTGTGATCCAAAAGGTAAGGAAATTTACATATACTAAGTAATTAAATTGCACCACACTTTCTGATACAGATTTTACCACTGTGATCACATTTTAATCACAATAGCCCTACAGGTAATAATAACAGCAATAATATTACTAAAAACAAACATTTATTGAGCACTTTCTATGTGTCAGGTAGTACGAATTTTACATGTATTAATTCAGTATTACATTTTCTCAACAAAGCTAAGTGATAGGAGATATTATAGTCTCCATTTTAGAGTTGGAGAGACTGACACATGGAGAATATGTAACATTCCCCATAACTAGAAAGTCAGGCTGGGCGCAGTGGCTCATGCCTGTAAACCCAGCACTTTGGGAGGCCGAGGCGGGTGGAACACCTGAGGTCAGGCGTTTGAGACCAGCCTGGCCAATGTGGCGAAACCCCATCTCTACTAAAAATACAAAAATTAGCCAGACGTGTTGGCGCGCCTGTAATCCCAGCTACTCTGGAGGCTGAGGTAGGAGAATCGCTTGAACCCAAGGGGCGGAGGTTGCAGTGAACCGAGATCACGCCATTTCACTCCAGCCTTGGCAACAAGAGCAAAACTCTGTCTCAAAAAAAATAAAAAAAATAAAGAAAGTCAAAGGGACTCAGTACCTGCCATATAAGAAACAACTGGAGGTTTCAGTAAAGAAAAGAGAAAATTAAGAATGAAATCAGGTTGATAGCCACCTCCAAACATGTGAATAACTGTCATCCAAATAAATAATTATTTGAATATATATGGCTATATATATATGGTTCCAAGATTTTTTGCCAACAGAAATGAGTGGAGGAGACAGGATGACATTCTGAGTTGCTCAAAACTTGAACACTCTGCCTCAGGGACTGGGAACTGCAGCAATCTCTTCATCACAGGATGGTTCAGGTAAAACCAGGTGACCACCAGGAAGAGTAAAATGAGGCAAAGTATCCTATCTTTAGAATCTCAATGATCTGGGTTCAAGTCCCAGCTTTGCAGCTTACTGTTTGACCTTGGGAAAGCTACTTAAGCACTCTGTCACCATTTCCTCATCAGTCCAAACGGAACCAATAATGGTACCTGGTTCACATATAACAATGTTGCCACATGATAAGCTCAATATAACACATCACTCGGTAAATATGCCAAGGTCATTTTGACAACAGGTTTATATTTAGCACAGTTCTAAATGTGAAGTTGTAGTATGCCCTGACTGGTTATGTGCCAAAACTATATACCTGGGTTCCTGTTTCTCTTGTCTTTTATCTTTGTGGCTTTTAGATGGATTTCATTATTGACAATTTTATAGCTAAGAACAGCACAAAGAGACCAATGGTGAATGTACTGAGGAAATTCTGGCTCATAATTTCTGTTTCTGTAAGACAGAAACTTAAAAATTTACTTTATCTTGTAGCGGTTGCAGTGAGTATGAGGGGCTTTCTAAATATTGAGGGGAAGATGCCTCTTTATTACTCATTCTGCAGTCTTCCTACTGTAGTGATTCATTTGCAAAAGATCCTTTTTGTGGATTTGTCCTTTTCTTACATTTGTCTGTTGTGACATATTTTCCCTAAAATACAGCTGCCAGTTTGATCTACATGCTGTGTCAGCTGGAGGGTATGAAATACCTCTCTCACAATTCAGCTGGTCCAATGGAATGGCTTTGATTTTTTTCCCCCAGCTGTTGTGTAAATTGGCTGCTCCTTGAGTACATTAGAGCTAGTTTACATTTCATAGCATTTAATAGCTTTAGAATTACCAGAAATAGCAGTTATAAGAAACATGAAGATGACAGTAGTCCTGCTTCTTGATGATAAAAGACACAAATGATATTTTACACATTTCATCGCTTACTCTGACAGATGAAGGCAGCTATTGGACAACAACTAAGTCTCTGAATTTGCAAGTACTTGATAAGGTTCTGGAAATCTTCCTTCTTTAATTCTTCTCTGCTTTAAACTTTGGTTTCTTCATTTTCTCTGTTTCAATTTAGTTTTCTCTATGCATGAAAATAATTCTTCACCTCCTCAATTTCCCACAGAACAAAAGATTAGATGAATGTGAGATCTGCTTTCTGTACTAAATATGGTCTACTGCTAAGGAAAACAGAATGAGAGAATAAATAGTAGAGAAATAAGGATGTAGAATTTGAGATACATGGCAGGTTCTGCCTCCTCACCAAGCTCAAAAAACTCAGGCCATTTTCTGTCTCTTCTAATCCCTTCCAATTCAGCAAGATTGCTCTGAGCTTTAAAACAAACTTTCTTCAATGGATCCTATAAATCTATTTTTTATTTATTATTATTTTTTTTTGAGACAGAGTTTCGCTCTTGTTGCTCAGGCTGGAGTGCAATGGTTCGGTCTCCAGCTCACCGCAACCTCTGCCTCCCGGGTTCAAGTGATTCTCCTGCCTCAGCCTTCCAAATAGCTGGGATTATAGGCATGCACCACTATGCCCGGCTAATTTTGTATTTTTAGTAGAAATGGGGTTTCTCCATGTTGGTCAGGCTGGTCTCCAACTCCTGACCTCAGGTGATCTGCCCACCTTGGCCTCCCAAAGTGCAGGGATTACAGGCGTGAGCCACCGCGCCTGGCCAAATCTATTTATTTATTTACCAAAGATAAAGCCTTTCATTTTCTAGGATGGTCCCAAAAACCCCAAATAGAAAGAACCTATGAGAAATTTCACACATGGAATTAAATTCACACAGTAAATCGATGTACCTGAGATACCCATTGTTGTGGGGGAGAGTATTATGTACTGAGTCGCTGAAGGGTTGAAGAAGGAAGCTGACACCTCTGTTGACAAACTAAAGACAAAGCTTTCCCCCAACTCTTACTAGAAACTGCCCTGTCCTTAGTCAAACATAATAGAATTCAGATTTCAATCCGGCTTTCATGTTATAACTGAGTGTTATCCTTTTGTGTTCATCTGTATTCACTGAGTTGACCCCATTTATTCTGTCCCCAAACATCTAGTGAATCTAGCTTCCTGGATTCTTCTCCATATTCTCAAACTTTCATCCCAGAAAATGTTTAAATTAATATAAATGCTAGTTTTACTTTTTCATAATTAGTCACAACACATACTTCCTTCTGCCCTAGAAGAAAGCAATCCACTTGATATTTGATGCTTACTTAAGAAGATACATGGAGAAGTCAGATTATTTCAACTAGGTACTTGGGGATATGTATAGTTTTTGGAAACAAATGATGATCTTTTGATACTGTGAAAGGTATAAAAAGAAAATCCCAATTACTTGGTGTTGTTGCATTTTCCCTACCAGCTAATACTCCAACTTGGGTCCAGAACACTGGCTGTCACCAGGACTTAAAGGATTTGCACACTCCCAGAAAACTCATTTTCCTCCTCACTCTTAAATGTTTTAATGCATTTACTAAGGGTCTATCTGACTCTGTCCTATCTGCGCTTGCTACAAAAAAATGTAAAGAGAAGCAGTCACTCTTTCGATGTTTACAACCACAGGTGGACAACACTGTAACCTCCACTGAGGTCATTTTAACTGTCTCTTTTATGACATGGGTATTTTTTTTCTTCTCTCTCTCCTTTCTTTCTGTTGATTTTACATGAAAAGTATCTATTTTACTCGAACATGATCAGCTCAAACTGGTTCTTTAAATGATGCCAGGTGGCATGGCTGAGTGTTTGACCTCCCTTTCATTAAAAAACAGTTTTATTTGTGCTGAGTCAGAAAGCCTCTTATCCCATACCCAAACAAAGAGCTATACAGGCACAGGACACTTGGCCTATTTGTAACCATCTGGTTCAAGTGACTTTCAACTTCACCCAAGTCCATTCCCACCTGTGAATTCACCCTGTGAAACTGAGCTAAAAGAACAGGAGTTCACAAGGGCAGCCAGGGTTTCCCTGAGTCACAGCTGAGTTTAAGTTTCACGTCTGACAAGGAGGATGTGTTCAGCCAACTGACATTCCTCTCATAGCAAATGGAAAGTTGTTTAAGTAATTTTAAGAATCATAAAATACTTTGTATAAAAATTGCTTTATAAGTACAGTGCAATTTTGGGGTTGATAGTTTAGTTAAGGCCTGCATTTTTAGAAGAATTAGAAAACAAGAGGCTTTCATTCTTTGGGATATGGTTATTATCTCAGTGAAATCATATACCCCATGAGAAGACAGTTAGATCTGACTGCCTTCTCCTTTGAAATTTTCATATCCTTATCTACACTGTAAGAAATTCCCTCTGCTTATTAACAACACATACAGCACAGTGGTAGTTTATGAAGATCTGAGGCGACTGTATAGATTTGCGGGTACATGGTTGGATGGTGACCAGAGAATCCTGACTTTTCACTACAAGTTGAGTATGTATTTTAGTATTTATTTTACATGTCACCGCATTTCTATGCCTCTCTCATGTTTACTCATATATTTTTAATATGTTTATTTTATGGTCTCAAGAATAGCATCAGTGTTTGTTCTTTGATCGTGCATAGTTGCTGCAATATTTATAAGATTCTATGCATTGTTTTGCATTTAATCAGGTTTAAAAAGTTAGAGCTCAGGAGTAAATTTTAGATTACCAAGACTGACGTTTACAAATGTGAAAGTATCCATATTTGAGGAGAATTTTTTAAAACTTCGTCTTTCAATCTGGCAGTTGAAAATAACAATGAATAAACAAAACACAAGCAGTTATAATACTCAGGGTTGACAAATTTTCAGAATAATGAGATCTTTAATACAGCTGTACAATATGAATGTTCTGGTAATATTTTATATCACTGTTAGTTTATTTTGTACCTAACTAGCGTTTGTCATTGTTGATAGTCTCCCTGCATGTGTACTTGTGTCCCTAGAGTCAATTTTCAAAACAACAGCCAACATGACTCTTTTAAAACATAAATCAGAACATGTTACTCCTCTGCTCCAAACCCTGCAATGCCTTTCTGTTTGATTCTGTAAGAATTTTATGAGAGTAGAAGAGATTGTGCATTCAAAAAATTTAACTGGAAAGCATTTAATGGTGAGGTTATATTTGGAGATTGTGGGATTAGAGAAAACAATAAGGAACAGTAAAACAAGCAGAAACTAGGAACAATAGGAAGGCTTTCCTCGCCCAGGTCTGAATAGACAAAGGCAAGGAACAATTTTGCCAAGACACAGTGAGAGCCATGGGAGAAGTTTGCCTGAAAGAAGCTGTGGCTACACATGACCAGGATAGAGGTTCTTATTTCTCCATTCTCCTGCTATTACATCCTTCCAATTGGCCAGACCTGAATGGAAGCCACAGGGCAAGGTATCCAGAATGGTACAGTTCACAGATTCTGCCTCCCAAAGCCCAAAGAGAGAAGAAAGGGGAAAGGTGAACAGATTATCTGCGGGGGCAAACAGGGCATGCCTTCTTCATAAGGGCAAAAGCCACAGCCCTTTCTATAACATACAAAGCCTTATACACACATACTTTATCCTCCACTCTCCCTTTAATCTTTGCCTTACTTTCCTACTTGTCCTCCTGCCAAATCAGTCCTTTGCAGTTCTTGTAGTACACATCAGACACACTCCCTCCTGGCGGCCTTTACACAGGCTTTCCTCTATATTTAATGCTCTTGCCTCAGATATGTATCCTTGTGGCTTACTCAATAACCTACTTTAAGACTCTGTTCAACAGTGACCTTTTTTTCCTTAACCACATCTTTAAAATTGTATCACATCTCTTTCCACACTCTTTATCCCACTTCCCTGCCTCATTGTACTCTATGGCACTTACCTCCATCTAGTATATATTAACATTTATTGTTAAGAAGAAATTATGTAATTGAGTATGTGAAGTTCTTAGAAGAGGATTTGGCATATAAGACATAAAGTTATTTGAAATTGCCACACTTTTGAAAGAACCGTTGTCCTAAAGAGGAACTTGAATAAAAGCCTGCCAGGTTAAGGTTAAAAAAAAAAAAGACATAAAGTTACATAGGTAACTTTCTTCCATATTGTATCTTCAGCTCAATTGTTTTTACTTATATACAGTCAAATGATACATTCACCTATACCTATATACAACCTGACCTGATAAAACTGTATTTTTGGGTTTTACCCTCAAGCATATGCCCTGAGTCCACATACGACCCATCTGGGGTATTAGGGAAACATTACTTTACTAACTATATTGCATATAATTAGCAGAACATAATCACAGCTGGTAAGAAGTTGTAGATACTTAGATGAAATGTAGAAGAAACAGGTTCCATTGGCTACAGATTTAGCGCATATATTGAAAGGAACCATTTTAAATAGACGTTTAAAATAAAGTTTCACGCCAAAGGAAAGGGTCGGTGTACCCAGCTGTCACCTCTCACAAAGCCATTTGCCACAGAACTTTATGTGGCAAAATTTTTAGGTTGGGATACTGAAAGTGTGATGTTGGTGGTGTCATTTATTTTCCAGTTATTGGTTATTTTGAGACAGAGTATGGATACTTTCCTTATTTTAATGCGGTCAAGTGTCAAGGTTAAAAAACTTTCCCGAGGTGCTTTATTTTGTCAACTTTTATTTTAGGTTCAGAGGTACAAGTGCAGGTTTGTTATATAGGTAAATTGCATGTCACAGGCTTTGGTGTACAGATAATTTCATCACCCAGGCAATAAGCACACTATATCTGATAGGCAGTTTTCGATCCTCCCCCTCCTCCCACACTCTACCCTCAAGTAGGCCCTGGTGTCTGTTGTTCGCTTCTTTGTGCTCATGTATATTCAATGTTTGGCTCCCTCTTATAAGTGAGAACTTGACGTATTTGGAGTTCTGTTTCTGTATTATTTGACATAGGATAATGACATACAGCTTCATCCATGTTGCTGAAAAGGACATGATCTCATTCTTTTTTATGGCTGTGTAGTATTCCATGGATTATATGAACCACATTTTCTTTATTCAGTCTACCATTGATGGGCATTTAGGTTGATTCAATGTCTTTGTTATTGTGAATAGTGCTGCAACTAACATACACATGCATGCATCTTTGTGGTAGAATAAATGTATATTCTTTTGGTTATATACCCAATAATGGAATTACTGGGTTGAGTGGTAGTTCTCTTCCAAGTTCTTTGAGAAATTGCCAAAGTACTTTCCATATGGGTGAACAAACGTACACTCCCACCAACAGTGCATAAGTGTTTCCCTTTCTCCACAACCTCACCAGTGTCTGTTATTTTTCTGATTTTTAATAGTAGCCTTTCAGACTCATGTGAGAAGATATCTCATTGTGGTTTTGATTTGCATTTCTCTAATGATCAGTGATATGGATCTTTTTTTTCACATTATGTTTGGCTGCATGTGTGTCTTCTTTTGAAAAGTGTCTCTTCATGTTCTTTGCCCACTTTTTAATGAAGTTGTTTGGTTTTTTTCTTGTAAATTTGTTAAAGTTCCTTATAAATTCTGGATATTAACCTTGTTGGGTAAACAGTTTGCAAATATCTTCTCCCATTCTGTAGGTTATTTATTCACTCAGTTGATAGTTTCTTTTGGTGTGCAGAAGCTTTTAAGTTTAATTAGATCCCATTTGTCAATTTTTGCTTTGGTTGTAATTGTTTTTAACATCTTTATCATGAAATTTTTGCCAGTTCCTATGTCCAGAATGTTACTGCCTACATTGTCCTCCAGGTTTTTACATTTAAGTCTTTAATTCATCTTGAGTTTATTTTTGTATATAGTGTAAGGAAGGAGTCCAGTTTCAATCTTGTGCCTATGGCCAGCCAGTTATCCCAGCACAATTTATTGAATAAAGTGTCCTTTCCACATTGTTTGTTTTTGTCAGCTTTGTCAAAGATCAGATGGGTGTAGATGTGTCACATTATTTCTGGGCTGTCTATTCCATTCCATTGGTCTATATGCCTGTTTTTGTACCAGTGCCATGCTGTTTTGGTTACTGTAGCCTTGTAGTATAGTTTGAAGTTGCATAGTGTGATGCCTCCAGTTTGGTCTTTTTGCTTAGGATTGCCTTGGCTATTTGGGCTTTTTTGGCTCCATATCAAATTTAAAGTAGGTTTGTTTAGTTCTGTGGAGAATGTCGCTTGGTAGTTTGGTAGGAATTGCATTGGATCTGTAAATTGCTTTAGGCAGTATGACCATTTTAATGATATTGATTCTTCCTACCCATGAGAATAGAATGTTTTTCCATTTGTTTGTGTCATCTCTGATTTCTTGGACCAGAGTTTTGCACTTCTTATTGTAGAGATCTTTCTTCTGGCTCATTAGCTGTATTCCTAGGTATTTTATTGTTTTTGTGGCAATTGTGATTGGAATTGTTTTCCTACTTTGGCTCTCGTCCTGGCTGTTGTGGGTTTATAGGAATGCTAGTGATTTCTGTATATTGATTTTGTATCCTGAAACTTTGCTGAAGTTGTTTATCAGCTGAAGGAGCTTTTGGGCTGAGACTATGGGGTTTTCTAGATATAGAATCATGTGGTCTCTAAGCAGGGAAAGTTTGACTTCCTCTCTTCCTATTTGGATGCCCTTTATTTCTTTCTCTTGCCTTATTGCTCTAGCCAGTACTTCCAATATTATGTTGAATAGGCATGGCGAGAGAGGGCATCCTTGTCTTGTGCCAGTTTTCAAGGGGAATTGTTCCAGCTTTTGCCCAGTCAGCATGATATTGGCTATGGGTTTGTCATAGAAGGCTCTTACTATTTTGAAGTATGTTCCTTCACTACCTAATTTATTGAGAGTTTTTAACATAAAGAGGTGTTGAATTTCACTGAAAGTCATTTCTGCATCTATTGAGATAATCATGTGGTTTTTGTCTTTAGTTCTCTTTATGTGATGAATCACATTTATTGATTTGCTTATGTTGAACCAACCTTGCATCCCAGGAATAAAGCCTGCTTGATCATGGTGAATGGACTTTTTGATGTGCTACTGCATTTGGATTGTAAGTATTTTGTTGAGGATTTTTGCATCAATGTTCATCAAGGATATTGGCCTGAAGTTTTCTTCTGCATGTGTGTGTCTCTGCCAGGTTTTGGTATCAGGATGATGCTGGCCTCTTAGAATGAGTTGGGGAGGAGTTTCTCCTACTCAATATTGTGGAATAGTGTCTATAGGAATGGTACCAGCTCTTTGTACACCTGGCAGGAATCAGCTGTGAATTCATCTGGTCCTCTGCTTTTTTTGGTTCATAGACTATTTATTATTGCTTCAATTTCAGAGATCATTATTGGTCTATTCAGGGATTCAATTTCTTCCTGGTTCAGTCTTGGGAGTGTGTATCTGTCCAGGAATTAATCCACCTCTTCTAGGTTTTCTAGTTTGTGTGCATAAAGATGTTCATAGTAATCTCTGATTATTGTTTGTGTTTCTGTGGATTCAGTGGCAAAATTCCATTTCTCATTTCTAATAGTGTTTATTTGGATCTTCTCTCTTTTCTTCTTTATTAGTCTAGCTAATAACGTATCTCATTAATTTTTTTCAAAGAAAACAATTTCTGGATTTATTGATCTTTTGAATGTGTGTGTGTGTGTGTGTGTGTGTGTGTCTCAATTTCTTTCAGTTCAGCTCTGATTTTGATTATTTCTTATCTTCTGCTAGCTTTGGGGTTGGTTTATTCTTGCTTCTCTACTTCTTTTAGTTCTGATATTAGGTTTTTAATTTGATTTTCTAACTTTTTGATGTGAGTGTTTAGGGCTATACATTCCCCTCTTAACACTATCTTAGCTTTGACCCAGAGATTCTGCTGTGCTGTATCTCTGTTCTCATTAGTTTCAAATAACTTATTGCTGTCTTACTTAATTTCATTATTTACCCAAAAGTTATTCAGGAGCAGGTTGTTTAATTTCCGTGTAATTGAATGGTTTTGAGTATTTTTATTTTTAGTCCTGCTTTCTGTTTCTATTGTGCTGTGGTCTAAGAGTGTGTTTGGAATGATTTTGGTTCCTTTGCATTTGCTGAAGATTGTTTTATGCCCGTTTCTGTGGTCGATTTTAGAGTATTTGTCATGTGGTGATGAGAAGAGTATATATTGTATTGTTCTGAGGTGGAGAGTTCTAAAAAGGTCTATCATATCTTTTTGGTCAATGCTGAGTTCAGGTCCTGAATATCTTTGTTTGTTTTCTGCCTTGATGATTTATCTAATAGTGTCAGGGGAGTGTTGAATTCATTCACTATTTTTGTGTGGGAGTCTAGGTCTCTTTGTAGGTCTTTAAGAACTTGTTTTATGAATCTGGGTGCTCCCGTGTTGGCTGCATATATATTTAGGGTAGTCAGGTTTTACTGTTGAATTGAACCCTTTACCATTATGTCATGCCCTTCTTTGGCTTTTTGTTGTTGTTGTTTGAAGTTTGTTTGCTCTGAAATTAGGATTTCAATACCTGCTATTTTTCTCATTTCCATTTGTTTGGTAGATTTTTCACCATCCCTTTATTTTGAGCCTAAGCGTCATTGCATGTGAATGCATGCTTGAAGACAGCATACCATTGGGTATTGCTTTTATTATTCACCTTGCTACTCTGTGCCTATTAATTTGAGCATTTAGAGTGTTCACATTCAACGTTAGTATTGACATGTGTGGATTTGATCCTGATATTGTGTTGTTAGCTGCTTATTATGCCAGCTTGTTTGTGTGGTTGCTTTGTAGTGTCACTGATCTTTGTATTTAAGCGTGTCTTTGTAGTGCCTGTGATATGGTTTGGCTCTGTGTCCCCACCCAAATATCATATGAAATTTTAATCCTCACATGTCCAGGGAGGGATGTGTAATCCCCACGTTTCAAGGGAGGGAAGTGATTGGATCATCGGAGTGGTTTCCTCCATGCTGTTCTCATGATGGTGAGTGAGTTCTCACAAGATCTGATGGTTTTATAAATTCCTGTTTTCCCTACCCTCTTCTCTCTCCTCCTGCCACCTTGCAAGGAAGGTGCTTTCTTCCCCTTGCCTTCCACTCCAATTTTATGTTTCCTGAGGCCTCCGCAGCCATGCAGAACTGTGAGTTAATTAAAACTCTTTCCTTTATAAATTACCCAGTCTCCAATATTTCTTTATAGCTGTGTGAAAAATGGACTAATACATCCTGGTAATGGTCTTTCTTTTACATATTTAGTGCTCCTTTCAAGATGTCTTGTAAGGCAGATCTGGTGGTATTGAACTCCCTCATCATTTGCTTCTCTGAAAATAATCTTATTTCTCCTTCACTGAAGAAACTTAGTTTAGCTGGATATGAAATACTTGGTTGAATATTTTTTTCTTTAAGAATGTTGAATATAGGCCTTCAATCTCTTCTGGCTTATAGGGTTTCTGCTGAGAGTTCCAATTTGGGCCTGATGAAGTTCCCTTTGTAAGTGACCCACCCTTTCTCTCTAGCTGCCTGTAACATCCTTTCATTTTGTCTTTGGAAAATCTGATGATTATGTGTCTCGAGGATAATCCTTTTGTGTTGAATCTTGTGGTGGTTCTCTGTATTTCCTGAATTTGGTTGCTGGCCTCTCTAGTGAAGTTAAGGAAGTTTTCATGGATGATATCCTGAAACATGTTTTCCAAGTTGTTTTCTTTCTCCCTGTTTCTTTCAGGGATGCCACCAATTCATAGATTTGGCCTCTTTACATAATCCCATATTTCTTGGAGGTTTTGTTCATTCCTTTTCATTATTTTTCTTTATTTTTTGTCTGTCTTATTTCAGAGAGCCAGTCTTCAAGTTCCAAGATTCTTTCCTCAGCTTGCTGTATTCTGCTGTTAATACTTGTGATTGTATTGTGAAATTCTTGTAGTGTGTTTTTCAGCTCTATCAGATCAGTTAAATTCTTTTTTATATACTAGCTATTTTGTCTGTCAGCTTCTGTATCATTTTGGTGTGATTCTTATTTTTCTTGGATTAGGTTTTGCTCTTCTCCTGAATCTCAACAATCTTTTTTCCTATCCACATTCTGAATTCTATGGTACTTTCTTTAAAGAGGTCTTTGGGGACCACAAAGTTTCTGAAAGATCCAATTTATTGAACCCCCAGTGACACAAGATTTTACTTTCTTGCTGACATGTCAAGATGGCTGGACATAATAAACTTGAAGCTTTAAGCTTAAAAGAATACTCAAGAATAATGGAGAGCAGTGCTTATTTATTCACAGAGTGCAGGTATGCAGATATGCAGATGTAAATTGGGCATGTGGATGGAACAGATGACATCTGGAGACTCCATTTATTTCTCATTACAGATTTGCCTTGAGCTCAAATAAATAACACATTCTGAAGAATCTTAGAAGTATTTGGTGGGAATTATGTTAGCATTTTTGAAGATATTCAAGGATTTATAAGTATGAATTATGTTGCAAGTATCTGTGTCTGTCTTTGAATATAAACCTCAGGATATATCTAAGTTACCAAACATCTTTCACATTGATATGGTGTAATTTTAAGAGGATCTGCCTGAACTAAAAGCAAACTGTACTTACCCAAAAGCATCCTTCAAAGATTGGCATTGAGTTTACAAATTCCAGGATTAGCCTGAAATTTCTGATGATTTAACTCTGGAAATATTTTGGCACACCAAACTCACTCTCTGTATTGAAAATACTAAAAAGGAAGTTGAGAATGTTCATCAGTGAAGTGGAGTCAGAATTGATAAGATACTTGAATAAATAGACTCATTATTCTTAGTAATGCTTTTACTATCGCAAAGTAGTTCTCTTTGAATTAATAAAAATTTTTCAGTTTACCACTTGGCCTATATTATGCACTTCAGTATAACTATTGCTTATTAAATCTGTTGGCACTAACCACAGAATGCCATTATTGTTGTTGTTGCTATTTTAGTTAATATTTTGTAACATGTGTTGCTCCAGACATTTTCATCTATACTATCTTATTAATGTCCACAACAGAACTTAGAAGTGAGTAAATATTTCAGTTTTCTAAATGATGGTGTTGAAGCTCAGAGGGTTTAACAGATGCTCAAAGTGGCAAAGAGATATGGATGGTCAATATACATCTATATTTATGCTGCATTTCCCCATTTATAATGGACGGATGGATGGATCTAAAGTGGTGTTTTTGTCATGTATTGGTGTTATCAACAAAATAATCATCACCTAAAGATGTCCACGTCCTAATCTCAGAAACCTATGAATATGTTTCTTTACATGGGCAAAAGGGACTTTGCAGAGGTAAATGAATTAAAGATCTTGAGCTAAGAAGATTTATACTAAACTATCTAGATGGGCTACCAATGTAATCACAGGGGTCCTTATAAATGAAAGAGGGAGGAAAGAGAATCAGAGTCAGAAAAGATGTGATGAGGGAAGCAGAGGTCAGAGTGATGAGATTCCAGAAGGGGGCCATAAGCCAAGGAATGCAGGTAGCCTCTAGAAGCTAGAAAATTCAAGGACATGAAATCCCCCTGGAGTCCCCAGAAAAAAACACAGCCCAGTGAATACCTTGAGTTTGGCTTCCTGAGAACGACTTTGAAATTCTGGCCTCCAAAAATGTATGATTATACATTTGTGCTGTTGGAAGATACCAAGTTTATGGAAACTTGTAACAATAACAAAATGAAACTAATATAGGAGGTAAGATAGATGTATAATAACCAGTTTCAAAAATCTCCCAATATTAAATCCACAGAAAAAATACCTTGTTTATAAAATTTTAATTTACGTCACCTACAGTGTCTCCTTTCTCATGTCTATGATTGTTCCTCCTCTTCTGTTTTACCATGTCAGATTAATAGAAGACCTCTGTTAATTCTTCAATAAATATTTTAAATGCTAATGAAATTGATAACATAAGCTGAAATATAACATATATGGACTAACTTTAATCTTTTTTTTTTTTTGAGACGGAGTCTCATTCTGTCACCCAGGCTGGAGTGCAGTGGCGCAATCTCAGCTCACTGCAACCTCTACCTCCCTGGTTCAAGCGATTCCCCTGCCTCTGCCTCCCGAGTAGCTGGGATTACAGGCGCGTGCCACCATGCCTGGCTAATTTTTTGGTCTTTTTTTTTTTTGTATTTTTAGTAAAGATGGAGTTTCACTATGTTGGCCAGACTGGTCTCGAACTCCTGTCCTCAGGCAATCCACCCACCTCAGCCTCCCAAAATGTTGGGATTACAGGCGTGAGCCACGGCACCCAGCCTAACTTTAATCTTAATGTTAATTTTTCTCCCACTAAACTCTTACAATCATACTAATAGACTGTTTTCTTCCTAACCCACCTTTGATGATCCACTTATGGATGGGTCTTTGCACACCTGCAAATGGAGTTCTACCATTGCCGATGCCTTTCACATCCTCTCTGCTTCGATATGCTCCACTAAGTTTTCAAGTGCCCTTTGTAGAATTTAAATCCCAATTTGTCCATTATATCTTTCCTGAATACTAGGACAGTTATTTGTCAAATCCTGTTTCTTCCAAATATGGTAGAATGACTATATGTCAGATAATATGCTAAACACTCTGTCAATAAAGTGTCTACTCTGCCATATTTTTAAATTTTCATATGTTTTTATCTCTTCTCCCCAGTAAATATACAAATTCTTTGAGGGGGATTTGGTTTGGCTGCCTCTATTATGCCACACTAAAAGTGGTTCCTGTTTCCTAGGTTGTGACTCTCTGAACTTCATTTTTCTTAACTGTCAAAATGAGGACTCATATACAGATCTCCCAGGGTTGTTGTGAGGAGTAATTGATATGGTCTACGTGGAATTTCCTTGGATAGGCTACACATGAACTAGCTACCTTATAAATATCAGACTTTCACTTTCCCCTAATTTATAACAAGTGATTACTGAATATTTGCTGACTTGAAATTATAATATGCCTTTTACCATTCTGACTAGAGTCCATCCAGATTTTTTAAAAAAAGCAAACAACATGGAACAGAATTATTCTTATGGCCATTTCAGATCCTGTTGAATAAAACTAAATGAAAAAGAAGAAAGAATGAGAGAAAGAGCAGAAGAATAAAAGGAAAGAAGAAAGAGAAAGAAAGAAACAAAATAAACAAAACAAAACAAAAGAAGGGGTGACAATCATGCGGGAAGATATGTATCTGGAGACAAAATTGAAGGCCAATTTTGGACTGCTCTTGGGAGAAATGTGAATCATGCTGTATCTTGGTGTAGCAGTTCAATAGTTTTATAGTTCTGGTTTCAAAATCAGACAGAGCCGTAGAGGGCACCAGAGTTGATTCTCCAATTTCTAGTTTGGCATATGTCACAGTGTATTTTTAAATAACTCTCCAGCCTTGAGATTAATCCTACTTACCAGTCTAGTAGTCTCTAATACCACTGTATTTTATTGCCAACTTTATTTTAATTCCTTTCTCTGGACTGCTTTCTGTTTATTTGAAGGTGCCCAAATTGGAACATGACTGTTGCCAATCAAATTTCAAGCCAATCTATCAATGGAGATACCTCTGTTGTGTCTTCAGAGCCCAACTACACAATTCATGAAATAAAACAGCTGCCTTGGAAATAAGCCTAATGTTTTGGAATAACTTATTCAACTTCTTTCCTCTTAGAAATTTAAATTTGCCTCAAAAGCCAGACATGATGCTTATCAATCTGTCTTACATTGGAATTTGCATTTCCTGTGAAGCCTAAGAACAACATTTCTGTACTGCATTATTACTAGAACCTTTAGTGTTTTTCTAATCAGAGTAATTTTATGAAATTGGCTGCAAAAAGATAATAAACTTGTGCTATTTCAGCAGTATGCTTAACCTTGGCCCTTCATTTCTGATATCATCCAATTTTTTTGTAGAGATTAGAGATCTTGTTCTCCATTGGGCTCATTGTGTATACACATTTAGTTTATATAATTAAGCATTGACTTTATTTTTTCCCCTTGAAATGCTCAATACGAAAAGAAAATTTGGTGTTTTCTTGGGTCAGTATATAACCCATTGCTGTATCAGTCTCCTTTTTCCTTCAGCATTGCCCAGGATTCCAGAGATTCTTGAAAGGAATATTAAAAGAGTTAATTGATTGGTGACATGACTAAACCATTTAATTCCAGCACAAGTGTAAGAAATGGAGATCCAAACTTTAATAACGATCTTTCAGAAGGATGTAATAAAATGTTCTCATGTGTATTGTAAATTTTCTTTCAGTACAAATAATTGTAGACAAAATACACTGATCACTGACCAAAGAATAAGTGAATCATATACCTTAATTTGATGAGATTAAATTCAAAACTTAAATACAATAAGAATAGTAAAATAAAAATCATGTAGATGTCAATTTGTTAGTCTATCAGGTTTTTCTGATACTTCTGTGAATTACTAGTCAGAATATTTGGGATGGATGTTAAATCTATTTTCTTAGGGAAAAAATATCAAGCAAATAAAAATACTCCATCCCCCTCATACCAAATTTAGGCGCCAACACTCATCTTCAGTTAACCACAATAGCCACATAATTGATTGTTTCCCTTCCTTGATGTACATATGTTGAATGAAATATATCTGCTTATGTATTTCAAGTAGTCTGCACTTAACCACATAGATCTACATTACACCTCCGACACACACACAGATTTCAATGTAGGTTCCTACAAGCTGGATTAAGAAGGTTCCTGACTAAAATCCAGAATTAGAGAAAATGTTAATCAATATTTTCTCACATTTTAAGCCCATTTTCTTTTTATCCTTTAACTTTTGGCTTTAACATGTTTTGTCTGCCAGCTTGCAACAACGTAGCCTACAGCATACTGAGCTTTAGATTACAAAACACAAATACTGAGTTTTACTGCTTCTTGGTGGTATTCAATGATGTTGCATAGTAGATGCCATTTTTCTTAGGTGGAAAAATCCTCTGTGTTAGGAGCTGTAAAGCTTCTTATACCATCAATCTTCGCAGAGTCAGAATATAAACACCAGTGTGAAACAAATGTGATTCCAGTGGAAAGAAAGTAAGTGAACCCCACCCCTGCACCATGGGGCTGACTTTATGAGGTTAGCTGCAAAAAATTAGCACTGAGATCTATGATAATAATAATAGTAGTTTGTAATAACAGTTAGCATTTACTGAATATTTACTAGACAGTATTTTAAGCATTGTCTTAGGCTATGCTCTCTTGGAAACATACTCTTGGGTTAGATGGAATGCAGTAGTCTTATCAGTCATTCTCTTGTTACCAACTCCTGAGAGAGAGGAAGGGAAACAAACAGGACTAGGCAGCAAGAGAAGTTGGGTACAGTAGCTGCAACAGAGGCTTCGTCTGATGCCATGAGGAGCTTGGAAGTTGGATGGCCCTTCAGAGTTATCCTAAACTGAGCCAAGAAGACTAGACAGAATCACAATTTTTGGCTTTGTACTGTCCTTAAGACGGGGCATAACCTTGTTCAAAGCAGTTCCCTTCAGCTGAGGGAGATCCCATGAAGGGACTCAGTTGTGAGCTACCACCAGCTAACTCTCAGCAGCTGTAAGAATGAGTCCCTCAGTCCTGAAGTATCTGGATGGTGCCCCTCAATATCTACCATAAATGTCTCATATGTAATATCTAATTTATTTTTAACAGCCATCCTAGGAAGCAACCAGTAACATTATCTCAACTTTACAGGCAAGGAAACTGAGACTGAAGGACTGGTAATCTAGGAAGCCAGGATTTGAGTCCAGTTCGAGACTTTTGTCCCCACCCTCCAAAGGGGAGGTGTGGTGTTGTACTATTATCGATTAATATTTGATGAACTTCCTTAAGAAAGTCACAGATTAATTCAACTTTATATTTGAGCAAAATGTCTAGCTTTTCAAAAGCAATTGAAACTCATTGCTATCATAACATATATGTTAAAAACTCAAAAACCATCATTGGTGTTTGAAGTTCCCTGTGAACTAAAACTCCTACTTGAGTTAAAGCTGGGTGGTGAGTATGAAGAGGTACATTATATAATACTTTATACCTTAATAAAAGATTAAATTTTTCCAAATTAACATTTTTAAAGGTCACAAGAACCAGAGGGATTTACAGGTGATATTATTTTAAGGTGAAAAATAGTTAATTTCAAAGTAATCTCAAGTATTTCAGGTGAATAGAAAAAGATGAAAAACTCTCCACTGTATTTTATGAAGCTACCAAGACATTAATATCAACCCTGACAACGACAGGTAAAAGTATAGCCCAATCTCACTTAGTGATAGAGATGAAGCATTCAAAATAAAATCTCAGAAACTAGAGTCAGAAGAATAGCACATTATGTTTAAGTAGCATTTATTCTGGGAATACAAGGATGGATTGATTATTATTAAAAAAATCAACATTATCAATTCTATCAAAAAGGAGAGTAGGAAAGCCTCATAGTCGTATCAATAAGTGCTGAAAAAGCAGTTGATAAAAACCAGAGCCGTATTAATAAAAGTGCTATGTAAAACAAGAATAAAACGAAACTACTTACAGTAGGCTTCTTATTAAAAACTAACAACAACAAATATGTACTAAATAACGGTCACTGAAACAATCACCATTACAAATCAGGAAATAAGGCAAGAATACCCGTTTGGTAGAGACAAGGTTTAGCCACGTTGTCCAGGCTGGTCTCAAACTGGGCTCAAGCTATCCACCTGCCTCAGCCTCCCAAAGTGGTGGGATTACAGGCTTGCGTGAGCCACAGCACCCGGCCAGTTGCGGGTATTCTCACATAAAGATCCCCAAAATGAGTAGACTTAGATGACTATTATATAGTTTGGTCAATATGTACAACATATTACAAAAGTGGCCAAAAAACCCTGAATAAACAAGTAATAATTACATGTTAATGGCAAAACTTTGGAAACATAATTTCTTTAAAAATTATGTGTAGTAACTCTTTTTACATGTGTATGCAAATAATATTTGAAGCAAGTGAAATTATTTTAATTCCTATAATAGAATTTAGCAGAGGAATATTCCACGGCATTCTGCAGATGATACTGTGACTTCCGGGTGTTCTTACCCTCTGAATTGCTATGAAAACCTCAGTTCTACAATATCCCATTCCATGCCAGGCCAATAGGTGGAGTGTGCAGCTAAAGTGGTCACATATATAATTTGAAGAGCAAACGGGGAAATTAGATTAATAATATTACTTATTTGCACTATTTTATCAGACGACAGCAAATAAAGAAAGGGATAGTTTGAGTTGGAGGGGGAAAAAGCTGATGCAGAATAAAGCAAACCTAATCAGAGTTCTTTGAATATGTGCTCTGGTAAGTTTATCCTAACTCCCTTAATTCTTTGCACTAGGTATGTAAGAAAATGGAATGTTTAATTTTTCTTATTTTTTTCCCCTACTCACCAGGATTTACTTGAGCAGAAAATAAATGTAACATTTAAGGTTGAAAGGGTCTTGGACTGCTGGAATAACCTTTCTGAGGATTAAAACCCATCCGCAGAATCTGCTAAACATAATACAAACCAGAAAATTTTCTCAAAGTCATAGCACTATTAAGTATCTATGCTGAGTGAGCCACTTTGTTAAACTCTGTGGATACAATGAAGCATATAACATAGTATCTTTCCTTAAAGTGTTTCCAGTCAAGGAAAGTCATTGCTTATGTTCACTATTAACCATAATTCACAATAGAGATAGAAAACTTATAATAGAGGAGCAAATGGTACATAAGGAGAGCAAAAAAGATGTGTAATTATGTACAAACTTGGTAATAAAAAGTGTAATACACATGTATGATTCCAATAAATATTCACCTACTACTCAAAGACGGTCCAATAACTTTCAGTATTACAAAATATGTTCTTGTTCACTTCTAATGCTTTGCCTTTAGCAGTGGTAGCCTTTAACAAAAGTAGCTGCAAATGAAGGGAATTCTTGATTGATGGGTAACATTTTTGAGCACTCACTTTGTGAAGAAGGTTACCCTGAGAAGCATGCTTTACAAAGCTGCAAAGCAGGTGTGCATTCTTTTGTACTAAAAATACTGTAGGCAGTTACATGAAGTGGTCAACATCATACTGAAAGCAGCTGGCTTCTCAAGTGGAGAGCAGTCTATTCGAGGTTTAAAACTATAAGAACTGCACTTTTGTCCTTATTTTTTTCCTCCATTTAAGCCTCATGTGCTTGGACAAATCATGTACTTTTTTGAACTACAGTAGGAATTCAAAATTCATTGAAATAAGAATAGAAGCTAATTGAAAATAATAATTATTTAGGTTATAATAGGTTTCAAAAATACAAGATATAAAGTGTTTTGATCTGAATGTAAGACATCATTATTAAAATAACTACTATTTTCAACAAAAAGCTGATAAAGGAGTAAAACATAAATTTGATTAAAACTACAGCTGCTGGGGATAAATAGAAATGTCAGGTAATGTGTTTATTGCTAATTCCTACATTTTGTAGACCAAGAAAGGAGCCAGAATCCTCAATTATATCATAAATTCTGAATGAACTTTAGTGGGTCATACAATCAATATCAATATCCTAGTCTCTAACATGAAAGGAAATGGAGAAGTAATCTCTAAACCCATTTTAATTCTCAACCTAAACAATAATAAATAACTAATACAATGACTTGGGTAAATATTTGATGGATGTTATATACTGTAGTTGAGGATAATGAATATTTGAACCTTGGAGGAGAGTAGAATCTGAATGAAGAGACAAGTTGCCACTGACTCATAATTTAAAAATAAGATGCCATAATTTATTAAAACTGCATTGCAGGGACTTTAGTTTCATCTCAGAGATATAAAGACCTTGAATTCCATCATTACTAGCCTTACATCAAGAAAAAGCTGGACGAGCTGAGTATTAACACCTTTTTTGGACACCTCAGATAACTGAGATTGCAGGGCAAACCACTATCCCAAAAGTGGAGAAACAGACTTCTCCAGGAACAAAAACCAGGCACTTACTTACCTGGAACAGAAGTCACTAGGAAGATGCCATATAAGCCATAAGAAACATTAAATTAGAAATTCTGATGGATTACTGGAGGCTTGATTCAGAGGATTAAGAATCCTAAGAAAGCCCCTCAGTTCCACACCTTCCATACACTCAAGACCCTCACTTGGGGAGGGAAAGAGTAGCCATTGCCAAATCCTTTCTCCCTTAGGAAACAAAAGGCCTAATCTCTGAGGTCTGATGTCACCAGCTGGCACCAAAGAAATCCCATTCAAGCTTGATGAAGGGAAAATTTCTCTGCCACAGCCTCCATTTGCCACTTAAAGAAAAATGTAAAAGAATAAATGTACAGAGGAGAAGAACTTAAGGACACAGACCAGAGTTACTAGAGGATCACTGCAGTGAGTGAATGATTAGAAGTACGAAAGCAGAAAAAGCTCTACCACTAGAGAAAGAAGAGAAACACTTGTGAAGGCCACATCTCCTAGGCAAAGGTTCACAAGGCACTCCAAAGACTAGGATCTAATCTGAGGATTATAGAAAGCTTTTCCTCCCCCACATGACATCACTGCCATAATAATAAGCCTCCAGGAACAGAAACAGTGAATTCCAATTGGGAGAGCAGCAAGAGACAGACTTTCTCTAAGAAATAGTACAAAGGGAAACCTAAAGCCAAAAGGGAAGACAAAAAACAAACAAACAAAAACAGTCCAAAAAAGAGGAATTTGAACCTCCTGTGCCCATAGCCACAACAAATACAAAATACAATCCAACTCTTGGCCACATTACAATAAATCCACACACTAAAGGTCTGTTTAACTCAATATTTACTACCCTGTGCAACATGTCTGGCTTCCAGGAAAAAATGTAAAGGCATTTCAAAAGGCAAAAATAATACAGTGTAAATAGAGAAAGTAATTGGAAGATACAAACTCAGATATGACACAATGTTGAAATTATCAGACAATTTAAAAAACTATGGTTAATATGTTAAGGTTCTAATGGAAAAGGAGGGCAGAATGAAAAACCAAGTGGTTAGTATCAGAACAAAGATGGTAACCATTGGAAAATATCAAAGAAATATTCTAGAACCAAAACAAACAAGCAAAAACACAGAAAACAAAAACTCCTTTTAGGAATTCCTTGAGTAGACTTGACAAGGCTGGGGAAGAAATCGGTGACCTTGAAGACAGGTTTATATAAATTTCCCAAACTAAAATGCAAAGAGAAGTAAATGGCAAAAAGAGACATCCAAGAATTGCGGGACAATATGAAACCATGTAACATATAAAAAATTGGAATACTAGAAGAAGAAAGAGCAGATGTGTCAAAAGATATATTTGAAGAAATAATAGCTTAAAATTTTCTAAAAATAGTTACAAACACCAAACCATAGATCAAAGAAGCTCAGAGAACACCAAGCAAGATAAATACACACACAAATGCCTGCACACACACACACACACAAACACACCCCTAGCCATATCATATTCAAACTGCAGAACACTAAATACGAGAAAATATACGAAGCAGCCAGACAAAAGATGAATAAAATTGATAAAACTCTAGCAATCAAAGCCAACCAATAAAAGAGAGAGAGCAAAGATATGAAGTGCCACTATCAGAAATAAAAGAGGCGGGTCATCACTACAGATCCTAGAACATTAAGTATAATAAAAGAATACCATGAACAACCCTATGCTCATAAATTCAGCAACTTAGATAAAACAGATGAATTCCTTGAAGGACACATACCACCAAAATTTACTAACAGAAATAGACAACCTGAACAAACCTATACCTATCAAACAAATTGAATTAGTAACTAAAAATATTCCAAAAAGAAGTACCAGGCTTAGACTATTTAACTGGTGAACTTAATGTGATTTTAGTGCTTGTCCCCCTTCTAAAATTCATGTATAACTGTAACGACCAAAGTAGCAGTATTAAAAGATATCATCTTCAAAAGGTGATTAAGTCATGAGGGTGAAACCCTTCAGAATGGGATTAGCTGCCCTTACAAAGGGCTTGATAGAGGCAGTTTGTCCCTTTTGCCCTTTCACCTTCTGCCATGTGAGGACACAACATTTCCCCATCCAGAGTATGCAGCATTTAAGGCACCATCCTGCAAGCAGAGACCAAACACTCAGCAGACAAATAAACCTGCGGATGACTTGATCTTGGACTTCCCAGCCTCCAGAACTGTGATAAAATAATTTTTTTATTTTTTATAATTTACTTAGTCCCAGGTATTTTGTTATGGTAGTACAAAATGGACTAAGACAGAAATCAGCCAAGCATTTAAGAAATAAATAATTCTAATCCTACAGTTTTTCTCCAGAAAATATACGGGAAAGAACTAAAACCAAAAAAAAAGGTGATATGGAAAAGAAACAACAACAGACAATTATTGTTCATGTACATAGCCATAAAAATCTTCAAAAAATATTAGCAAATTAAATCCAACAATGTATAAAAATAATTATACACTGTGGCCCATGGGGTCTATTCAAGAATACAAAACTGGTTTAACCTTCCTAAGTTAATCAATTTATTTCACCATGTTAACAGGCCTAAGAAGAAAAATAGTATAATCATATCAATAGGTGCAGGAATTGATCAATAACATGCAATACTCGCTCATGATAAAAATTCTCAAAAACCTAGCAGTAGAAGGGAACTATCTTAACCTAATAAAGGATAAGTGTGAAAAGCTTTCAACTGCCAAGTATGATGGTTCATGCCTGTAACCCCAGCCCTTTGGGAGGCTGAGGTGTATCACTTGAGCCTTGGGGTGCGACATCAGCTTGAGCAACAAAGCAAGATCTCGTCCCTGCAGAATTTTTTAAAAATTAGCTGGTTGTGGTGGCATGTGCCTATAGTCCCACCTATTTGGGAGGCAGAGCCAGGAGGATTGATTGATCCCAGAAGTTCGAGGCTTCAAGGAGCTGTAATCACACCACTGCACTCCAGCCTGGAAGACAGAGTGAGACCCCTGTTAAAAAACAAACAACAAGAAAGAAAATTACAGCTAATGTCATACTTAATGGTAAGAGACAAAATGCTTCCTCCCTTATCCTCTCTTACCACTCCTAGGAAACATTGCGCTGGAAGTACTAGTTAGTGTCATAAGTTAAGATAATTAACTAAAAGTTACACAAATTGGAAAGGATGAAACAAAACTATTATTACTTGCTGATGACATAAATGTCTATAGAGAAACCCCAAAGAACCTATGACAGGAGTTGGGGTGGGCAAGCTAACAAAATATCTCTTGGAGCTAATATATAAACTTATCAATCAAGGGCACAGGTTACAAAGGAATGTGCAAAACAATAACTTCCTCTTATACCAGCAATGAATAAATAAAATTTAAAATTAAAAAAATATATACTTTATTTTTCTATGTTATTACAAATGATATATATTAAGATTTTAGCATACTTTAGCAAACTAACTTTAGCAATTTTTTTGAAGTAAAGTATACTATAGCATACTTTTAAAATTTTTAATATACTTACTATACAATTCAGCAATCCATAGATATAAAATCAGCAGGATCCGTATAGCATATATATGTGAACAATATAAAATACTGATTTTTTTAAAAATCAAAGATTTAAGTAAATGGAATGTCCATGCTCATGGATAGCAGAACTCAAAATTGTTAAGATTTCAATATTCTAACTTCATCTATTCATTCAACAAAATCCCAGTCAATATTCCAGCAAACCATTCATTTTGATATTGGCAAACTGATTCTAACCTTTATATGGAAAGGCAAAAAACCTAAAGTAGCCAACATGATACTGAAAAAAAAGAATAAAGTTAGAAGGCTTGCACTACCCAATTTGAAAACTTACTACAAAGCTACAATAATAATAAAAGTGTAGCATTGGTGAAAGCATGAATACATAGATCAATGGAATAGACTTGAGAAACTCATTCTTTGCTTTAGCAAACATAAATGGTGGAAACGTAGTCACTTTGGAAGACAGTTTTGCGGTGTCTTATAACATTAAATATGCAGTTACTATACAATTCAGCAATCATATCCCTAGGTATTTACCCAACTGACTTGAAAATTTTTGTTCACACAAAAACCTGCACAAGAACATTTATAACAGCTTTATTCATTATCACCAAGAAATCGAAGGAAACAATAGGTGAATGGATAAACAAACTGTGGTATCTCTATACTCTTCTGAGATAAAGATAATAGGCTATTAATCTACACACAGCAATATCAATGATTCTTAAATGCATTTTGCTAAGTAAAAGAAACCAGATTAACAAGGCCACATACTACATGATTTCATTTATATGACATACTGAAAAAATGCAAAACTATAAGAACAAAAACTGATCCAGTGGATTCCAAGGGCTTGCAGAAGTGGTACTGTTTGAGTAATGGAAACACAGAGGATATTTTAGGGTGGTGGAACTAATCTGCATCATACTGTATTAATGGACACTGTGCTATGCATTTGTTTAAATACATAACACAATGAACTTCCATATGTGCAATTTTAAAAAATCAACCAGGAGACTGGGGGATATCAGAACAGAATTCAGACTGCAATGAAATTATCTAACTCTGTAATCCCAGCACTTTGGGAGGCTGAGGCAGGAAGATCACCTGAGGTCAGGAGTTCGAGACCAGGCTGGCCAACATGAAGAAACCCTGTCTCCACCAAAAACACAAAAAATTAGCCAGGCATGGTGGCGGGCACCTGTAATTCCAGCTACTTGGGAGGCTGAGGCAAGAGAATCGCTTGAACCCGGGAGGCGGAGGTTGCAGTGAATCGAGATTACACCATGTATTCCAGCCTGGATGACAGAGCAAGACTCTCTCTCAAAAACGAAACAAAACAAAACATCTAACTCTATTACAAATGTATGCCATAATCTCATTGAAAGTGAAGAGAATAATGGTACTCACCTGAGTTACTTTGAACAAAAAGAAAGGTACATAAAGACTGTATTCTGTTGTTAAAGTCTCATGGAGATATGGATTAACGATTCTGAAGCTGCTGTACATGTTTACTGGGATTGAACACACAAGTAAATGGAGGTAGATAGTAGAAGCCAAGCTTCCCAACGTTGGAGTGGGAGGGTTACAGATAAGCAAAGGGGGAAAGCCAGAATGGACCATGTTGTACTGGAGTAGATATGGAGAAATCAGTACTAACTCATGTTTAGGCTTGATGTAGATACAGAGGCATAGATAGAGAATTACTTTTAGTTATGTGTATAGACATAGGCTAGTATACATACATATATTCTTAGCTCTGTTCACTGACAGGGCCTACAAGTAAATGACAACCAAGTAGCAACGAATTTAACCAGAACCCAGACCTTGAGGGTTTTTTAAAAAGAAATTGCTGATTGTAGGCAGAGGCAGAGAACATATAAGATGAGACTGGAGCATTTTGTCATGCCAGCAAGTAAGGATGTACTTGTAAATCAAAATTATGAGGCATGCCAAAGAGACAAAGGAGCTAAGTGAAAGAGTCCATCACGACTAAAGCTGGAAACACTGGAGCAAAAAAAGAAAAGAAGTGATGCTGGACTATACCCAAAGTATTAAATAAATATCCAAAAGAACATACTGACATAAATAAATGATTGACTAGATACATAAATGGGGAAAATACACAAATCTCCTATGCAGAAGACTTCCAAATAATTTATGTAGATATTCCACTCTTAAAGAGGTGGAGCTTAACTCCCTGCTTTTTAAGTTTGAGCCATACGTAGTGACTTCCTCCCAAAAAGTACAGTATAAGAAGGGAGAAAAAAATTAACTTTACAGTGGAAAAACCTGACAAACATATTCACCTCAGTGATTAAGGTGTACATCAACAACAATAAGTCACATCAGTAGTATCTTCTCTTGATATGATGCAGTGAAAATGATACTTTACCTCTGTGGTTTTTCTTCTCCAAACCCATAACCCCTATCTATCCACGAGAAAAATATCAGACAAATCCAAACTGAGAGACATTCTATGAAATACCTAAAGAGCATTTTTCAAAACTGTCGAGATCATACAAAACAAAGAAAGTCTGAGAAAATGCCACAAAGCAGAGGAGGCTAAAGAGACATGACAAAATGTAATTTGGTGTCCTAGATAAGATCCTGGAATAGGCAAAGGACATTAGGAGGAAAAATAATGAAATACAAATAGCATGTGGAGTTTACATAATTGTAATGTACCAATGTTGAATTCTTAGTTGTAACAGATGTAAGATGTTAACAATAGAAAAGACTGGGTATGGGGTATCTGAGAGCTCTCTTTAACTATCTTTGCAATTTATCTGTAATCTAAGCCTATTCCAAGTGACATTTAAGTGATGATATGGTTTGGCTTTGTGTTCCCACCCAAGTCTCATCTTGAATTGTAATCCCCACCTGTCGAGGGAGGGAAGTGAACGGATTCTGGGGGCTGTTTCCTCTATGCTGTTCTTGTGATAGTGAGTGAATTATCTGGAGATATGATGGTTTTATAAATGGTAGATTTTCCTGCACTCTTGCACACTCTCCCCCTCTCTTGGCTTCCACCTTGTAAGACGTGCCTCGTCCCCTTTTGGTCCAGGATGTGTCTAGAAATGTCATCTGGGAGATAGGGCCTGGAATGCGTGCCTTATGACTCTTCCTGGTGCCCTATCATACTGTGGCTTAGCTGGTCTCCAGGATGCAAGAGAAAGTCATCTTTGCTCTTTGCTCTCCTCTCCCCAAATAGAAGGACGGAGTCACTTTTCTTGCTGTGATCTGCACAGCCTGGGGTTTGGAAAGGGATGGTACAAACACTCCCTTAGTTTTGCCAGTTGGTTTCTCCGTAGGTCATGTGGCACCCTATTCACTGGCTCTAAGCCAAGCCTAGGACTAGAAGTTGCCTAGGGATTACAGTCCTTGTGTCCTAAACTGCCTTTCAAATTTACCCAAACTACCAATTTTACAAGGGATTAATAACCAGAATATATAAGGAACTCAAACAACTCTACAGGAAAAAAATCTAATAATCTAATTTAAAAATGGGCAAATATTTCAATGAACACTTCCTAAAAGAAGACATGGAAATGGCAAACAGGCATATAAAAAGGTGCTCAACATCACTGATCATCAGCGAAATTCAAATCAAAACTAGAGTGAGATATTATCTCACCCCAGTTAAAATGGTTTTCATCCAAAAGTCAGACAATAACAAGTTCTGGTGGGGATGTGGAGAAAAGGATACCCTCATACGCTGTTGTTAGGAATGTAAATTAGTACAAGCACTATGAAGAACAGTTTGGAGGTTCCTCAAAAAAAGCTAAAAATCGAGCTACCATACAATCCTTTAATTCCACTGCTGGGTGTATACCTAAAATAAAGGAAATCAGTATATTAAATATATATCTACACTCTATGTTTGTTGCAGCAGTGTTCACAATAGCTATGATTTGAAAGCAACCTAAGTGTCCATCAGTAGAAGAATGGATAAAGAAAATGTCATAGATGAATGGATAAAGAAAATTATACACATTGGAGTACTATTCAGTCATAAGAAGAATGGGATTCTCTCATTTGCAACAACATGGATGGAACTGGAGATCTTTATGTTACGTGAAACAAGCCAGGCACAGAAAGAAAAACATTTAATGTTCTCACTTATTTGCGGAACCTAAAAATCAAAACAATTGAACTCATGGACATAGAGAATAGAAGGATCGTTACCAGAGGATAGGAATGGTAGTAAAGGGGAAGGGGGAGTTGGGGATACTTAATGTGTATAAAAAATATAGAAAGAATGAATAAGTCCTAGTATTTGATAGAACAACAAGGGGACTATTGTCAATAATAATTTAAGGGTACATTTAAAACTATTAAATTTAATCTAACTAAAAGGGTATAATTTGATTGTTTGTAACACAAAGGATAAATGCTTGGTGGGATAGATACCCAATTTTCCATGATGTGATTACTGTGCATTACATGCCTGGACCAAAATATCTCCATGTACTCCATGAATATATACACCTAATATGTACCCACAAGAAACACAAATAAAAAAATGTAAGAAGTAAATTCTATCAACCTGTTTTATCCTTTCCAGGAGGAAATTTGAACAAAACTTAAGGTAATTTTGTAATAATATATCTTCCTATGTATATGTTAGAAATTATTTGCAAATAAATTCACTTGCTTTCACATCACTGTTAAAAGGAAGGATAAATACATAGAACTCACAAAGATGGACAGCTGTCTCCCCAAATTAATGTGTTTAGAAGAAATCCACAGGATGGGATAAAATATCTGCAAACTATCCATTTTACAAGGGATTAATAACCAGAATATGTAAGGAGATCAAACAGCTCCATAGGAAAATATCTAATAATCTGATTAAAAATGGGCAAATATTTCAATAGGTATTCATTTCCTAGATATTCATCTTAAATGCTGACAAAGGCCCAGCAGATGCTCAAAGATTGATATAGCTAAAAATTCAGGTGTAATCTATGTATGATAAAGGGTGAATTACTCTCATCAATGCTCTGGAAGTGAGGATGGGAGATGAGAAGGAAGGGTGTGGCTCTCAAACTGTCCTAATTTTCCAGGTAGGGTGACTATATGCCAAATAGATAATAGATGATGATAAGAGGAGGATCAGGATTAGTATAATGGAGAGTCTTTTAATTACATTCTATAACTACCTCACTAATCAACTTTTATCTTTAACTATTTAACCTAGTCCTGTCTCCAGGTTCGAGTAGAAAATAGGTTTCACTCTACCTCTTATATAATCTAGGACAAATGCTTCTTGTTACAGTATTTAGATTAGCCTGAATGACTCACTATTTAGTTACAGAGGCCTAACTTGCAAAAAATAACAGAGTTTTCTAGTAAGAGAACATAAAAAGTCTTGCAATGAGTTCCAAACATTTCTTTTGAAATGAAATGACAGATCCTTGTTGCTCATCTATTATGTACAAAGAATTGCCCTTTGCACAATAATAATTATAATCATTGTGGGTTTTCAGCAATGTTAACAATAGAAACAGTGTACATTCCTGATTACTAAATCAAAGTTTATAATTAGCTAAGCTGGAATAAAGTTAAGATTTATCATCTAACCTTGAAATCTACCGAATCTTAATTTTTCCTGCGAAGTTTGATATGGCTTTAATTTGTGGCTCCAAAACAGGAAAAATTCTTATTTCTTGTTAGTGAATAATTGCAAGTTATAGTGAAAAAAGAACACATAGTTTGGGTTGATCATAGCAAACTTTGTAGCCTTACACATGAACCAGTGAGAGTTTTATTAAATTATCAGTATCTGGAATTCTATTAAGGAAAATAGTGATGGAGGAATCTATGAATTTTTCATAATAAACTCTCAATACATTTTTTTGGAATTTTGGAAACAAATGTCTGATCTAAAAAGATATAAATGCTTTCCCAAAGTTAAATAACATAATATTTCTAAGTAATAGGTGCACTAAGGACAGATTTTAGTGGTATCAATAATATTGATTGTCTTTGTAGAAAACCAGTCTGTCTCTACCTATCCCAGAGAACACTACTGAGAGGTCTTCTCTGTCCATAGTTGTAAAAACATTTTGTCAATTTTTATAATTATTGACTTATTCATTAACCTTAATCTAGATATAATATTTATCTTTCTTCACTATATTTTAGCCCTTTCAGTACTTTAACGATGTCCTCTATGTTTGCCATCTTAGTATCATATAACTTAACTGGTTTGGGGATTCTATAGCATTTTTCTGAACACACAAATTTCTTGACATACCTTTGAAAATACACATCCCACACCATGTACAAGCCAATTTCTCTTTTCCTCTTCACAGAAAATATTTTTAGAAAAAATTTTGGAATTTCTGCCTCCGTTACTCATCAGTAACTCAATTGCCTAAGGAAAATGACTTCTTTGTTGCGAAATCCAACATTCACTTATTTTTTTAATGTATTTCTTAGCAGGAATCAGCATGGTTGACCACTCCCTCCTTGAAACACTGTCTTCGTCTGTTCTTCATTACATTGCACTTCTTCCTGTCCTGTGGAACATTCCCACTCACAGTATTTTGCTGGCTTTTTAATGAGGTCTCCAAGACTCAATCAGTGACCTTCTGGTTTTTTTTTTTTTTTTTTTGTCTACCCAGTGACTTCTCATGGCTTTGAATACCATGTAGATACTTTTTAATTCCAAAATTACCTGCCTGTGCTTGAGACCTGCTTGGTACACCAGACTAATTTATAAATCCACCAATTTGATATCTCCACTTGGATATTGCATTAGGCAGGTATTTCGCAGGACACTCCAAAAAGGAGTTCTTGATTTTGCCCTCTATCATACCTGCTTCTTCCTAATACTTTTAAATCTTAATAAATAAATTTACTATTCAGAAAAGGAGATATATTACTTCATCAAAGTCCTTTAGTAGGCAGAAAGAGATTACAAAGTACACAAGTGGAAGTGTTCATCTTCATCATTAGAACAGTCAGTTCATAGTGACCAGAAAGAAAGCAGGGCACGTGAGTACAGATGAAGACACTGGTAGTGAGAGTTTGTGGAAATTATCTTCTTCCTCATTTACTAAAATGGGAAGCAAAATCTTCAGTTGAGAGTGAGTATGAAGGAAGAGTTGAGCATGGCACCAAAATCACACTGAGCTCCAAATCAAACCAGTGAACTTCAATGTAGTGATCCCATATCTTTTCTGAGAAGAGACATAGATCGACCACTGTTACCCGTAATGTGGAATATTTTGTAAACCTCAAAAAAGAAGTAAAATACAGCACTCTTTTAAAACTAAAAACTTTAAATGGTTTGCCTTTAGAAGAGTGTTAATCCATCAGTATACAAGAAAAAGTTTTGTTGCAATGAAGTTCAAACATACTCTTTTTCGGGAGATGAATGTTAGAAATATAGCTAAACAGCTGCTGTTGTAAACCTCAGTTAAAGCATGGGGGACAAAGGAAAACTGCACACTGGCAAACAATGAGGAGTGCAATATTGTTGAATGGCATAAGGAACAGATGCCAAGGGAGTAGAATATTAAGATGAATAATATTTTCATTTAGCAAGGAAAGAGCTGTGCTCTCTAGAAAATAAAACACAATTGCCGGGCAGTAGAGGTATACAAATATCTATCCTGACTATAACCAAAAGATAGGGGTTCTTGATCCGGCTTAACATAAGTGTCCAGTGTATTACTCTTAGCTTGTGAACTAATGATTACTGATTGCTCACGAGCTTATCTCAGTATTGCCATAGACTCATAATAATCAGACAGAAAATTCTCAAAGGTCATTTAGAATATCATCTCAACTTGGGCAGTGCCACCTTTGACAAATAGCCATGGAGATTGTGCAGTAAAATTTCCTGTGATGGGGACTGACAATCTAACTGAAGAGACAGTGTTGTTTGGAGGTTGAAAAGCATGATTTTTTGAGCTATATAGTCTAGATTCAAGCTGTATTCTCTTACTTGCTAGCTGTGTGACCTTGGGCAAGTTGCTTAAAATCTCTGTGACCCATGCTCCTCATCTGTAAAAATGATAATAATGCCATATGAAATTTAAAATAGTTTTTTCTAATTCTGTGAAGAATGTCAATGGTAGTTTGCTGGGAATAGCCTTGAATCTATAAATTACTTTAGGCAGTATGGCCATTTTCACAATGTTGATTCTTCCTATCCATGAGGATGGAATGTTTTTCCATTTGTTTGCATCCTCTCTTATTTCCTTGAGCAGTGGTTTGTAGTTCTGCTTGAAGAGGTCCTTCACATCCCTTATTAGCTGTATTCCTAGGTATTTTATTCTCTTTGTAGCGATTGTGAAAGGGATTTGATTCACGATTTGGCTCTCTGCTTGTCTATTGTTGGTGTAAAGGAATACTTGTGATTTCTGCACATTGATTTCGTGTCCTGAGACTTTGCTGAAGTTGCTTATCAGCTTAAGGAGCTTTGGGCTTTTTATTTCTGGTAGAATTCAGCTGTGAATCCATCTGGTCCTGGGCTTTCTTTGATTGGTAGGCTATTAATTACTGCCTCAATTTCAGAACTTGTTATTGGTCTAATCAGGGACCCTGTATAGTCAAGACAATCCTAAGCAAAAAGGACAAAGCTGGAGGCATCACGCTACTTGACTTCAAATTATACTACAAGACTATAGTAAGCAAAACAGAATGGTATGGGTACTGAAACAGACATATAGACCAATGGAGCAGAACAGATATCTCAGAAAAACACCACACATCTACAGCCTCCTGAGCTTTGACAAACCTGCCAAAAGTAAGCAATAGGGAAAGGATCTCCTATTCAGTAAATGTTGCTGGGAAAACTGCCTAACCAAATGCAGAAAACCCTGAAACTGGGCCCCTTCCTTACACCTTATGCAAAAATTAACTCAAGATGAATTAAAGACTCAAATGTAAAACCCAAACCAATAAAAACCCTAGAAGAAAACCTAGGCAATACCATTCAGGACCTATCACGGACAAAGACTTCATGACAAAAATGCCAAAAGCAATTGCAACAAAAGCCAAAATTGACAAATTGAATCTAATTAAACTAAAGAGCTCTGCACAGCAAAAGAAACTATTATCAGAGTGAACAGGCAACCTACAGAGTGGGAGAAAATGTTTGCAATCTACCCATCTGACAAAGGTCTAATATCCAGAATCTAAAACAAAGTTAAACAAATTTACAAGATAAAAACAAACAATCCCATTAAAAAGTGGGCAAAGGATATGAACAGACATTTCTCAAAAGAAGACATTTATGTGGCCAATAAACATATGAAAAAAAGCTCAACATCACTGATCATAAGAGACATGCAAATCAAAACCACAATGAGATACCATCTCACGCCACTCAGAATGGCCATTATTAAAAAGTCAGGAAACAATAGATGCTGGTGAGTCTGTGGAGAAATAGGAACGCTTTTATACTGTTGGTGGGATTGTAAATTAATTCAACCATTATGGAAGACAGTATGGTGATTCCTCAAGGATCTAGAACCAGAAATACCATTTGGCCCAGCAATCCCATTACTGGGATTGTAGGAATGTAAATCATTCTATCATAAAGACACATGCACATGTATGTTTATTGCAACACTGTTTACAATAGCAAAGACATGGGACCAACCTAAATGCCCATCAGTGATATACTGGATAAAGAAAATGTGGCACATATACACCATGGAATACTATGCAGCCATAAAAAGGAATAAGATCATGTCCTTTGCAGGGATGTGGATGAAGCTGGAAGCCATCATCCTCAGCAAACTAACACAGGAACAGACAACCAAATACCACATGTTGTCACTCATAAGTGGGAGTTGAGCAATGAGAACACATGGACACAGAGAGGGGAACATCACACACTAGGGCCTTTTAGGGGGTGGGAGGTGAGGGGAGGGAATTTAGAGGATGGGTCATTAGGTGCAGCAAACCACCATGGCACACGTATACCTATGTAACAAACTTGCAGGTTCTGCACATGTATTTTTTTTTAGAATAAAATTTTAAAAAACCAATCATTAAAAAGATTATTGTGATAATTCCATGAGTTAATACAGGGCTTAGCTTAGTGTGAAATTTCTGTAAAAATAATATAATTATCAGAAACATCTTCATTATACTGTTTTAAAAAATGTATGTCTTGTTCCTTGAACCCATTGTCCCTAGTTCTGAAATTTGAATCAACCTAAAGTATATTTTAGTACTTCGTTCCTCATATAATTCCCTGTCACTTTTCGGGGCTACATTTTTGGTTGAATTTTCACAATTATACCATGAATTATAATTATTCTGTGTATTATTTTATAAAGAGCATCCCCTCCATATTCATTTTTGCTCACTTCAGGGCCCCATACTCAATACCTGTTGTGGGATAGTTCCTGAAAAACTGTACTGAATGACTGGAGACAATTTCAATTTTTAAAGATAACTGTTATGTGCTTACTATGTGTTCTGATCTTCAAGCTAAACATTTTCAAAATTTTCACTAATTCCTCTTACATCACCATTTCAAGCTCCCACTCAGCTTCCTTTGAACATATTCCAGTCTTTCAAAGAGCCTCTTAAAATATGGCACCCAGAACTGACACCAGCATGCTACATAAGGCCTGACAATTATCAAATACTCTGGAATTATCAGTTCCTTTAATGTGGACATTATTCTTCTATAAATGCAATAAAGAATAAAATGCATGCTGAAGAATCGCTGATTTATTAGTATTCCATCACTAATGCTTTCTCTCAACAGATGTAGTCCATATGAAAAAGTATTTGTCATTGACACTCAAAATGTACTACGTAACTTTTTTTTCCTTTTAACTAAGAATGGAGACTGACTTAATATTTAAATATCTACCTGCTTCCAATTCACCTTGCTAAGGTCACTCAAATAGTCAAACTATCATGAATCATTATTAAAATTTTAAATCTATGAGCTGCACATCTCTTGGGGTTATATTTTATGCCCATAAACACCCATATACAACAGGTTGTGGAATGGTTATTA